>NC_000006.12:5514545-5666060 GCF_000001405.40 Homo sapiens
GAACTATTTTTGTTGAAACACAAAGTAATCATGGTTTCAGTTTGTAAATTAGCTATTGCTGTGAGCTGCTGTACCTGGTGAAGAGAATTTTCTCTGAAATTGACAACTCTCTTTCCAAATGTTCCACTACAGTCTTATACTGACATCCCTTGACATCCCTATGGGTACAGTCATGAGATTCAAATTGTACATTCTTAATCTTCCCCCAAAATGACATCTGTGGCTTTTTTTTTTTTTAAGAGATGGAGTCTCACTGTGTTGCCTAGGCTGGAGTGCAGTGGCATGAACATGGCTCAACTGCAGCCTCAACCTCCTGGGCTCAAGTGATCATCTTGTCTCAGCCTCCCAAGAAGCTGGGAGTACAGGTGCATGCCATGCCTGGCTAAATGTTTTTTGTTTTTTGTTTTTTTTTTCAAGAGATGGGGTCTTACTGTTGCCCAGACTGGTCTTGAATTCCTGGTCTCAAGTGGTCCTCCTGGTTCAGCCTCCTGAGTAACTGGGATTACACGGACAAGCCTTCAAGCGAAACTCCATCTGTGGCTTTTAATTAAAGATGGACGTATTGTAATCTATGTGGCCATAGGGAAATAATAGCAAATAGTAAAATTGAAAGAGGTACATCTGACAGTAATAATAAAAACTTTTTTGTAATTCTGGAAATAATGTGACACCGCACTGCTACTCAGAGATAACAAATGAAGCTTAATTGAAGTTCCATGAAACTCTTGCCAATAGGAATTTCTCATGGTGTATGATTACCATGTGGAACGAAAACTCTAGGTCCTAGACTCAGACAATGACTATGATATAGTCATTTCATGGGGATATTGCCATTTTAGAAAAAGTAGTGCTTGAAACCTGATTCAGCGTTTTTTTATTTTTATTTTTATTTTTATTTTTTGAGACAGAGTCTCCCTCTGTCACCCAGGCTGGAGTGCAGTGATGTGATCTCAGCTCACTACAACCTCCATCTCCTGGGTTCAAGCATTTCTTGTGCCTCAGCTTCCCAAGTAGTTGGGATTATAGATGTGCACCAGCACGCCCAACTAATTTTTGTATTTTTAGTAGAGAGGGGGTTTTGCCATGTTGGCCAGGCTGGTCTTGAACTCCTGGCTTCAAGTGATCTGCCTGCCTTGGCCTCCCAAAGTGCTGGGATTATAGGTGTGAGTCACTGTGCCCAGCCCAGCATTTGATTTTGACTGTGTGTTTTAGACATTGATAATTTTATAGGACTTTAATCAGGTTTTATACCTGATACGTCTTAAATTTAATGTATAATTTAGCATATCATTTTAAAACAAAAATAGAAAAATATTTTAAGTGGGTTTACGTTTAGTAATTTATATCATATTAATTACATTTGTTACAGTACTCAACTTCAAGATGCACAGCCCTATGTGTGTAATTTAGTTTGCTGTGTTAGGGTAATTAAGCATGAGCTGCTGCAACAGAAAAAACATCTCAAAACCTCAATCACTTAGCACAACGAGGTTATGTCTTGTTCTTGCAAATGCTCCGAGTCTGCAGTGGTTGACCCCTCCATGTGGTAACTCAGCATAAGCAGCCAGGGCCCTTCCAGACTGTGGCAGTGCCAGCCCAATAGTAGTTCTGGGGTCAGGGAACAGAAGCATGGAATCGTCACACCAGCTCTTGAATGTCTCTGCCCAGAAGGGACACGTTTCACTTTCACACATACTTTATTGGCTAGAATGAGTCACGTAGCCCCATTAGACTATAGAGGGGCCAGAAAGTGTAGCACAAGGAATATTCGTGTAACAGTATGTTCTCTGCCGTGTCATCTTGGAAGTAATTGACAGCAGTAGTAACAGCAACAACAACCAAAAGGGTTTGCAATAGTATAGGTTCTCTCTAATTTGTAAATGGATTTTAATTATACATTTTGTTTGATTAATGTGCATAGTTGACACAGCCACAGAAGCGGAGTGCTGTAACGAAAGCTATAGGGACCTAGGAACCTGGGCACCTTTCTGATTACGGTGCTATTCTGTGTTAGCTAATTTTTCCAATTTGTGTTTGTCACTTAAACTCTTCCACCTATTTTGTACTCATTTGCAAAATAACTAGATCATGCCTAAGATCCCTTATAACTCCAAAGTTTTAAAATTTCTTTATTCAACTCAAGCTCTGACCATAGGTATCATGTTATAAGGAGGCTCTATATTGAAAGAGAACCTATAAAAGAGCTGTGTATCTTTGCAATATAACTTTGCATTTTTTAATTAACCAAGGATATAATATGTTTACTCAGGAACCCCCCCAATTTAAGTTTTCAATTCCAGCTTCAGTGGTGTGCATGCTACTCTGAATCTTGTGAATTCAGTGAAGACGTATCTGTCCACTGCTATGTATAAGCATTTTGCAAGATGCTTGGGGTATAAAAATGAGTAGATCTGGTAGGATGTTGTTCTGGAGAAACTAGTCTTCTAGCCTGAGAGACAAAAGTTTAGATAGATGCATTCATTGTGCCCTGGGAGGTACTGTGGTGGTATGGAATATGAGCATGGAAGGAAGAAGAGTGTCTGCGTTTCGCACAGTTTGGGAGATGGGAAGGGCTGTCTGAGCTGAATTTCAAAGAATGATATGAGTAAGTTTGGAAAAAAGAACAAAGGTGTAAAAAAGCACAGTCTATGAGGAAGAACATCAAGCATTTTATTAGTGCTAGAGCTACGTTGTCCATAGCCACTGGCCACATGTGGCTAGTGAACACTTGAAATATGGCTTGTTCCAACAGATATGTGCTTTAAGTATAAATATACACTGAGGTCAAGGCATGGTGGCTCATTGCCTGTAATTCCAGCACTTTGGGAGGCCGAGGCAGGCAGATCCACTTGAGTTCAGGAGTTTGAAACCAGCCTGGCCAATATGGAGAAGCCCTGTCTCTACTAAAAATACAAAAATTAGCCTTGTGTGGTGGCACACGCTTGTAATCCCAGCTACCGGGAGGCTGAGGCAGGAGAATCGCTTGAACCTGGGAGGTGGAGGTTGCAGGGAGCCAAGATCACACCACTCCACTCCAGCCTGGGAGACAAGAGTGAGACTCAGTCTCAAAAAAAAAAAAAGTATAGACATATATATACACACACATACACACATACTGGGTTTCAAAGACTTAGTTCAAAAAAAGGAATGTAAAATATCTCATAATTTTCCAAATTAAATACATGGTGAAATGAGTATTTTAGATATATAATATTAGGTAAAATGAAATATATTAATAAAATCAACTTTGCCTGTTTCTTTTCACTTTTTAAATGTAGCTAGAACATTTAAAAAATTTCCTATTCAAGTTACACTCTAGCATAGTCCAGCCCAATAGAAATATAATGTAAGTCCCCGCCTTGGCCTGGGCTGTGCTAGAACATAACTCATACAGGAAGATGTGGTAGGAGTTGACGGTTCAGAGAGTGGCAGAAATTAGGGCATGGAAAGTCTTGGGTGCTGTTCTCTAAGCAGATTCAGAATAAGGTGTTTAAACTGGTGAATTTTAAATATGAGAGTCATGAGGTCATGTTTGCATTTTACTTAGCTCTAGGCTGTGTGGGTGATGGTGCACCAGGCTCCACAGCAGAGGCTGGGGTACTGGTTGGAAGGCTGTTGTTGCTGCATCCAGGGAGAAAATATGAGGGGTTGCATAAGGGCAGTGGCTATAACTGTGGTGATCAGGATTTGGAGTTTGGAGCAAGTAGTCAAACGTGACTCTTGGATTCCTGTTTTGGGTGACAGGTGGGCAGTTGTGTCACAAAACTGAGATTTTGAATTTCAGAGAAGTAGACTATGTATTGGGAAGAATAAAGAGAGAGTTCCATTTTGGAAATGTTGATATAACTTGGATGTAGCATATTCAAAAGAAGTTACTGTAGATGAATGAAGTTTTGGAAGGATGTCAGAGCTAGAGAAATATGTCTGGAAGTGATCAGGTGGTGGCTAAAACAGTGAAATTCTATGAGAATATAGAGTGAGAAGTATAGGAAGCAGAAATAGTTGCTGGAAGAACATTGACTTTTAAGAAAGGACCAGAGGAAAATATATGAATATATATGACTGTGAGTGATCACATATATTTAAAAACCCATCATTGATTCCATCAAGGGTCACTAATTTTTATTATAATTAATGTTGAAAGTATAGTGTTTCTATTATTAGTAATGTGAGTGTTGGCATCATGCAAGAAATACATTTTTTTCATAATTACTTCATAATTTTAAATAATTATATAACATTTGTAACTAATAATTCCTAATGAAATTGATTTCTGCTTTTGTTAATATTAGCAGCAAAACTAATTCCTTATGAAATCTAAGAATTTCTGAGGCAAACAGAAGCTTTGTAGTGGTTACAGTAGCAGCACTTGCAATTTTGTTGAATGTTTAGAAGATTTTCAAATTAGTGTGAACTGATGTAATACTTGAGGTTTTAAGGAGCCATTTTGCACAAAATAGGTGATAATTTTGTGGTAAAATTTTACCTCTAAAATATTGATATAATACTTGATATGGTGTATAACATACAGAATTCTAGATAGAATGCAAAATTGTGGTTGGAAAATTTTCCCAAAAGCTCTGAAAGGATGGTGACCAGGCTCTAACCCTGAGTATATGAGCTGTGGTTTGTCTGTGCAAACCCAAAGGAAGGGTGTTGTTTCCCATGTCAGAACAGAAACTTGCTGTAAGATAGATTGGCTTTAGAAGGCAGCTTTGGCATCAGAGGCTAGGGGCTCTTGTCAATGTCAGTGAAAATAATTTAATAGAATGGTGTGATAGAAGCCAGATCACAGCTATATTTAGTTGCATTGAGGAGTAAATGAGAGTTGAGGAAGTGGAAACCATGAATGTAGATTACTCTTTCAAGAAGCTTGTCCAGAAACCAAGAAGTAAAAGTATGCTAGAAGGGGTACCAGTCAAGGGGGGTTTTTTTGTGATAGGAGGGTTTTAAACATGTTGATTGGTTGAAGAAAGAGGTCATGATTTTAGACAGACTGCTGAGTGAGGATTGAGTTAGAACAAAAATAAGGCTATTAATTTCTGTACTCCCAACAAGGCCAACGAAGAAGATGTATCTAATAAAAGAGCAGTTCTGTATTCCAAGTATCCATTTTCTTAAACTACACTCTTAAAGGCAGTATGACTCTGAGTCCAGTCCCCTGTGCGATTAAAATAATAATAATAAAATAAAACAAGTATCTCCTTATGTCATCAAATTTATTTGTCTGGTTGTAGATACCATCATGATGTTGGTTCCATTGTGCCTCACTGGATGGCTTGCGGTGTGATCTTAATAACAAGCTATATTGAGAAAGTGGTTGATGAATCTATTCGTAATATTATTATGTTGCTTTGAATAGCCAAATTAGAAGAGAGAATTCAAGCTCAGAAGTTTTAGCAGTGACCTTTGATGACTTCCTTAAAATTCGACTTTGCTTCATGTCAAATAGACTGGGGTCTCCCTGCTGAACAGTTCTGACCAGTTCCCCACAATGCTGTGCTCTTAGCACTTTTTCAGGGGAGGTGGACAATAGTACCCTCTCTTGGCCTGGAACTAAGGAGGAACCTGCCGCACCCTAGGGTGAGCAAAACCTGAGGATCATAAGTTTAGTTCAAAGATTGAGTTTGAACTGAATTTGGGTTCATGTGGGGTTGATTTTTTTAAATTTAATAATGTTATTATTTCTAGGTTCCTGAGGCCCCCATGTGGGCATTTAAAAAGAGGCTGTAATTACACCTGGTGACGAGATAATCACAACTTCCCACTGGAGTCTCACTCTTGCTGGGAATAGCCACATGTAGTTCAGAGCTGTCCAGTTAGGAAAGTGCTTGTGTCTTGCTTTCTTAGACTTGCATAGTTATTTCTTTATATTTGGCAGTGTGTGAACAAAGTGACCTGTCCTGTTACAGGACATACTCTAAAAATTCTTATTAAGAAAAACTTCAAACATTGCACAAAATATAGAGAATAATATAAGAAATACCCTGTTCACATCACCAGCTTAAGAAAGAAGACATTATAGATACAAATGAAGCCTGTTGTCTACCCTCCTTCCTCTGTCATCAGCGCATGGAAGTCTTGTTTGACTACCTTTTTGCCAATGTTTTTCATTGTCAAACTGACACATTTGCCAATCTGATGAGTGAAAAATGATGAAGCCATATTTTTCAAATTATCCTTGGAGTTCCTGAGAAAAATAACACATGAAGGACACATTCTCAAAGAAATATAGCCCCAAAAGGAAGTAAAATATTGATTAAAAATCATGATAAATTCATTAAAATTGAAAATCAGAGAATATTGACATGTATGTGTGTTAGTGAATCAGAATATTTTTAATGTCCTGTTGGATTTCAATTGGTTGCTGAAATGATGGATTTGGATGCTACCCCCAAAAGAATCAGGGTAGGCTTCTTTTGACAGGTGTTGTTTAACAACAAGAGTGATAGTCTTGTTCCTGCCTCTTTCCTGATAAAATCGCACTACAGATGAGCTCTGGTTCTTAGAAGCTTTTTTGCACACTTGTAGGAGTTCTTAGAAATCCTTCGTTTCCCTTTTAAATTATTTTTTTTATTTATATTTTGTTTCTCTTTTTTAACTTTCAAAGAACACATTTCTGAAAGAATTGAATCCTAGGGCCTTGAAGAAGATCCTGATGATTTCTTTTGAGGTTTTATGTAAGATTTAGGTTTTGGTGCTGCCAGGCAGTGGGAAATTCTGTACTGACATTTGATAACATTCAGTATTCAGAATACCAGTTGGCAGTTGACACTCAAATTGAGAAGCTGTGTTCAATATATGATATTTGTCTTTTTCTACTAAGAAAAAAAAAAAAAAAGATGAGGATAGCCCCTAAAGCTGCTGGACTGTGAATGTATAAAGGGAAAGGCAGGGGCTCTTTATTTCCTGTTGTGTCCCCATACGGGTGCAGTGTTGATGCGTACATAGATAGCACTCACTAAATAGCTGTCAGATGAATGCACACCAGAGTTACCTCTGTTTTCTTCCTGTAATAGAAAGCCACTGCTTGAACAAAGAATTATAAAGCCGGGAAAGCTCTTCTGGCCAAGACCCAAGACTCTAGCTATGCAGGAAACTAACTAAAATTTGGATACAGGCAAGACTGTATATGATTGTCAGTCTTAATTATAGGGACTTGCAGAACTCATGGTGATACGACCTCCCTGGGTAACCTGTTTCAGTGTGTAGGTCCTCAGACATTCAAGGATTTTCTTTTTTCATGTTTTAACCAGTCTTGCTTATTGAACCTTTGCACTGTTGAAGAACATTATCTTCTTTATAACTGTTTATAAGTGGTCGAGTCTCTGCAAAGCTCCTCCTCTAGAGCTTAAGTGAAAAGTATATAATTAGTGAGCAAAATTATTTTTATAGGACAAGGATAAAATGTCATTGACCTTAAGAGTTTGGTCCCATTCAGAGGTTATGTAACTCTTTGGTGACTCCAGATTCCTCTTGTGTACCAGAATGTTAGGGCTGATTAATAGTCAGGATAGTCTAGGCCGCTTCTGTGCTAACAGATAAACCCCTTGAAATTTAAGTGACTTAATTCATTGACACTTTATTTCTCAGTCAGAGAGAGACCAGTGTGGAGTCCACCATGCACAGTCATAAGCTCTGGAGCATATGACCACCAAGGCCCTCACAGCAAGGGAAGGGAGAGCTGCAGGGTCTCCCAAGCCCAGACCTGGAAGGGGCTCACAGTCTGTCTATCTGTCTGCTTAGATGCCACTAGCAAGAGGAAGGTCATGTGGCCCCAGTCTGTCTGCAAGGGGGTTAGGCCATGCAGCTTCCTCTGTGACCAGGGAGAGGAGAATGTGGTTTTCATACAGCATCTTCTCTCATGTAGGTCATTCTTACTGGCCCAGATGTGACTTGACAAAGTTTGTTGATGAAAGGGACAGCCTGCATCATTGTTCCACAGATGAACTATACCAATTTGGTTTGCCCCATTAGCACATTTTGTTATAGAAGTTTCATGTGCTCGGACCAGCGGAAGTATGTTTTTGGCTTTGCCAACCAATATCTTATTTTTATCCATCGCTATTCCAATGTCCTTTTAAGTTCCTCCTCCATCTGTTTTCTTTCTTATATTCCGTAGCCATGGCTAAAAGATGCATTGGATTTGCTTGGGAAGAGTGGCCATTTTCTTGACTAACTGGATGAATTTTCTGGCAAGATTTAACATTGGAAAGAAAGGAATAAAAATAGAGAAATTGGACCTATTTAACCCACATTTATCTCTTTCATTTTTCTTTCTTCATTATTTCTACTTAGTTTAACATGATGTGCTACTCTAATTTGAGCCAGGAATAAAGTATTTACATATTTCAAGTATTTGTTAGCTAGAGGCATAAGGAGACAAGGCCAGATATGGGATCGAACGAAATAGAAAGGAGAAGAGAACTGAGTACAGACATTTGGGATGAAGGGAGGAGAGAAGGAAGGTTGAAGTAAAACATAGTGATAAGCATTGCATTCAATGAGCTGGACTCAGCGGAAGTAAACTTCTAGAATAGTTTTATTTTTTACATCCCACTGCCTTCACAGAGTTCTGCCAGAGTCTTCCTCATTCAGAGTGAAATTTCAAGGGATCTTGTAACTTTCCTCGTCATTTTCATGACCAGTCCAGTCTAATGGCAAAGCTTCCGTCTTCCGTCTAATTTAAAGCTTCTTTCCCTCCTTCAGCTCAGAACACCTGCACGGGCATAGAAGCTTGAGGTATGGTGGTGGTGAGCTGGGAAGGGTCAGGTAGGGAGAAGAGAAGTAGGGCAAGGACAACAGAGGGCTTTTTTGACTGGTAGAGTTGGAATCCACCAGCATGGGTGTGACCAGTATACATATGCTATCTTTTTTTTTTTTTTTTCTCATGGGAGTGCTTTGGTGGATTTCTTGGAGATTCCCCATTAGTGACTTTGGATTGGAAGCCCGGGCATGGGCGATGTCATATCTGGCTGGTGGTTGGGTCCCCGCTCAGGGTCTCTGTATTCAGTGGTATGCCTGTGGGCTCTTTCTGCTGCGGTCGGCTCAGCCGCTGCATCAGACCTTATGCATAGGGCACTTTTCATGGAGGCTCACAGACAGCTGCGGCGTGCTTGGGTGCCAATCTAGGCTACAGCAAACTCACAATTTTTCTACTGTTACCTAGCACACTTTCTGTGTGTGCCTGTGTGTGTGTTTTCTCAGCTGCACTGCTATAGCCTTTTCCATTTTGTCTTTACCCTTTAGGGTTTGTCAGGTATGGATGATGGTTAGTCTCTAGGTCCCTCAAATCCAAGGAGACACATGCAAAGTTCTCCACGTGGCTTCCCAAATCCCCCTACTTCTTTGATGGGAGAGCCACTGTTTCTTTTCCCTAGGAGTGAGGGAAAGGCAATTATCTAATGATAATTCTTCAAAGGGGTCATGTTTCCAAGAACATGATGAATTCTTAGTTTTTACCAATACAGCATAAAGGAGAGTGATGAGAAGACTGGTCTCACTGTTTCACAGTCTGCCCAGCCTCTATTCTTTTTAGCCTTTGGAACCTCTACTGACAATAGATAATGAATGTACCACTTGACATTCTACTCCTATTCACATCTTTAGAGATAGCAGTGTTACCTATGGGAAGGAAATATTAAGGCGAGCAATCCATAAGACACTAAAAGTAGTGAGACCCATAGGAGAGAGGGAACTTGGAAGAGGATGTGTGCTGGGTTTCAAGGATGAAGGGCATATGTGGGAAAGAGGAACTGTGAGGGCACTGAGTGCCTGACTACAGAGTGAGCTGGTCATGTAGAGGCCCTTGGTTTCCTGGGCAGAGGAAGCTACAGGGAATCCTAGAATCCCTAAGCAGAATAAAAGCTACTGTGTGAACATGAGAGGATTTAGAGAAGATGTATTAACGTAGGATATGAGTGATTTGTTCACAGTGAAGATTCATAAGACAAATCCCAAGTTAAAAGCAGAGCATGTTCATTGCTACTTGACGTGTTGGCATCTACACAGAGCTGTCTGATGATAATACTTACAAGTACCTTTGTAATCCTTCCTTTGCACCAGGTCCTCTTCTGAGCCCTTTCCCTGTAATAACTGATTTAGGCCTTACAGTAGCTCTAGGAGGTAAGTACTGCCAATTATTCTTGCTTTACACATGGCGAAGTTGAATCAGAGAGAGATTCAATAACTTGTCCAAGATCACCAGCCAGTAAATGGTGTAGCCAGGATTAGTCTGGCTGCAGGGTCTGTGCTCTTAACTCGTCTACTCTTTCGATAGGTGAATAGTGTGTGATTAAGCTAACTGTATGGCTATGCTTATAGGACAGGAAGAGGCTGCAGCTTAGCTAGAGCCCAGTTTTCCTCTGAGAAGGAAAGCAAACCCTGGTGACTCTACAGTAGCTTTTTGTCACTGGCCTGAGACCACTGTGTTCTACTTTCTACTAAAGAGCTGGCATTGCTTCTTGGGGAAGCTCTGAGCAGGGAATGGCCAATAAATAGGCCTCTGTAGAATGCAAAAGGGTGGTGTTCCTTCTTTCCTCGGGCACTCGCTTTCCTCTGAAATTCCTGGAAAAGAAATGGCTGCCGACGTACAGCCTCTGCTTCCCATCTCTGCCTGGCTTCTGCATTCTTCCCAGCAAGCAGAGCTCCCCCCATAAAAAAACTGTTATTTTCTATGTTGATAGAAAGAAATCCATTTGGTGTATTTTTAATATTATTAGTGACTTATTGTTATGGTTAGATTATTATTCCATCCCTGGCTTTCCTGCTGTGGGAAATCAGTAGCTGGCATTTTGTAGCATTGCCGACTGTTGCATATTTCATAACACAGTGAATGAAGAGTGCCCCTTCAGGACTGTGTTGCGACATGATTCATGCATTTCCAGGTTTTATTGTAAGTAGTTGCACACAGCTGAGAGGCTCAGGCCCTGGAGAATTCCAGCGTGGCATTGACCACATGCCTCTAATCAACCTCTGATTACCGTAGCTTCATAAGGGATGTGCCCTCCAGTAGCAAACACTTTGTTAGAGTTAAGTCTTATAAAGAAAACTGTGTGAGTGTCAATGAGGGGAACAGAAACTAGTAGATTAAGATTTAAAAATAAGGAGGAAAAAGCAGTTCAAAGAGCTTGCCTAGGTTTTAGTTACTTGCCCTTAAGATACTTGGGAATAGATTGGATCAAGATGTTTAACTTTCTCTCAGAAATTTTGTGTATTGATAATTAACTTGGCTTCAGCCAAGGAGTTATAGAGGCCACTGAATTTTGTGTTTGGGCAAATATTAAAAGATGCCTTTTCTGTTGGTGTAGATAGTTGGTAAAATAGATGCTCTAACAGGAAGACTACAAATGTGCAACTCAATAAATTTTACGCTACTGAAGCAAACTGAGGGAGAAAACAGACGTCTTTACAAGGTAACCCTATTGATTTGTTTTCTTTTTGGAAAGGTTGAAGAATATTTCTGCAGCAGTGAAACTACTCAATTAGTATCTATCCAATAAGATTCAATGATAATATTATCCAGTGTTTCCTGTATTGATACGTGAGATTGGTGCTCCAGAGCCACAGCTGAAGCACAAAAGTTAGAAGTTAGAGATGGGAGTTTCTCTCAAATTCCTCTCAGCGCTCAAGTGGAAGGAAAGAGTTGTCTCTCAGTTGCTTTTCCTTTGGGAGTGAGATGCAGTTTGATTTTCTAGTTTGTTTTTAAATGTCATCTTTTAATTATGTTTTGGATAATGATGAAGAGAGATGCAATTTGGTTATGAGAATAAATCTTAAAAGGCTCAATGACTCCTTTATCTACTGCTTAAAACAACTCCCTCTAGTAAAAAGTATTTCATTAATTGTCATTACTTGGGAATTATGGAATTAGAGCAGCTGATCCCTTTTATCATTCATATATTTAAGTGACAGTGGCATTACTTACTCTAAATTAAGTTCCTTTCCTGGTTAAAAAATTATAACAGTGTGACAAGAAATAGAGCACTATTAACTTTTATTTTGGAAAGCAATTTTTCTAGTGGAGATATGAAAGCCACTATTATGCCTGGTTTCTTTTTTCTTTTTTCTTTCTTTCCTTTTTTGTTTTTTGAGATGGAGTTTCGCTCTTGTTGCCCAGTGGAGTGAAATGGCAGGATCTCGGATCACTGCAACCTCCACCTCCTAGGTTCAAGCAATTATCTCACCTCAGTCTCCCGAGTAACTGGGATTACAGGTGCCCACCCCTACACCCAGTTAATTTTTGTGTATTTAGTAGAGACAGGATTTCACCATATTGGCCAGGCTGGTCTCAAACTCCTGACCTCAGATGATCCGCCCGCCTCAGCCTCCCAAAGTGCTGGGATTACAGGTGTGAGCCGCCACGTCTGGCCTATGCCTGGTTTCTTAACAGAAAGAAACAGATAAGTATATGTACCATAATACTTCAAGAATTTCATCAAGGGGTGAAAGTGTTTAAAAGGTTTATCAGTGGGTTTTCGTATTCTCCACACTCAGGAAGGAATCAGACAGTCTTCTTAATGTATACAGTATTATATAGATATACATAAAAGTTATTCAACTGCTATATCCACTGTTTTTTTCTTTCTGTCAACTCTTCGGTTATATTCTCACCAGTCAGCAATGTGCTGGGCCAGTGCTTCTCCCAAGCTGGAACTGACCCTGTAAGTCTATTTTGTGAGTGGAATCACAGCAATAAAGTCTCATGGCATTTGTCAGAGGGACTGCGTTGACCCTGCCGTCCAACGGCATATCTCCTACAGTCATAGTGTCTCCATAATTTTGGCTCAGAGGATTTATTCAATTTCCTTTCCCTTCTGCTCTATTCTTTCCGAAAGACTTATTTTTACTGTAGTGAACTCACTAAACTCTAGTTAGCTTTCTACTTGTGGCCTAGTTTTGATAACTCTTGTTAATAAGGAATTTAATAATACAGTTGAAGTAAATGAAAATATTTCCCAACACTCACAACTCTGTACAATGTTTCAACAGTGTTTCCTCAAACTCCTCTTATGGATATGACTCACATTATAAAAACTGATATATGAAGAATGCACATTAAGTTGAAAGTGATTATTTGAATAATGATCATTTTAATGCACTTAAAATATCACTCAGATTTTTAAAGTCTTGCCTATAAATTTGGGGGAATATATTGTTCCCTGAAGCTCTGTATGCAATTCAATTCAAGCAACTAAAAACAAACCACAACAAACAATCAAACAAAAACAACTTCTATCTGAAAAATGGAAATTGTTCAAGACTGGTAAACTGTTAGGAAATGTATCTTTTGCTGAATGAAAACTGTTTGTTGCAATGATCTGCTTAACAATACTTAATTCTGAGTTCCAGGAACTTAGATTGAAATTTGAGGGAAAAGGATGAAAGACATAATGCTGTACTGGGGGCTAGTCAAAGGGAGATGTAGGAGGTGGTATGTGAGTCCTTGGTAGATCATATGCAAGTCAGTATATTTAGCCTTTAACTATTAATAAATGCTAAGCAAGGCATAACTATTCCCTTTACGTTTTCAAAAGGTTCTGCAATACCCTATCCCAATTTGGTCAATTCATCTTCATTTCACATTTCTATCTTCGTATGTTTGTGTTTACTTTTCCTTCTTGTTGGAAGATCTTTACCTTTTTTAAAATTTGTATTTAAAAAAAAAAGAGATGGAGGTTTCACTCTGTTGCCAAGGTTGGATTTGAACTCCTGGGCTCAAGTAATCCTCCCCCTTTAGCCTCCTGAGTAGCTGGGACTACAGGTACATATATGTCATTGTGCCTAGTTCACCTTGAAAACCCCTACATGTCATTTAAGACCATACTTGACTGACTTTTCCAAAACATCCATGTTCAGGATGTTTAAAGTGACCTCTTCTTCTTCTGTCACCCCATAGAACCTAATTTCTAACACTCATGGCACTGATTTGCATATGTATTTATAGGTCTTTCTCTCTCTGCTTTCAAAGTAAACATCCCTTGAAAGCTTGAACTATGGAGTTACGCATACCTGGGTTCACATCCCAGATCGAGCACTTGCTTGCTGTTGGTTGACTGACTCAGTGGCAGTCCTAGCACCACTTGTCCTTACATACATCCACTCCAGAGTTTGGAAAAGCCAGGCACTTATGCTCTTCACATCCTTTAAATCTAAGGGTGGTCAAGCAAACCAGTTTGGAGCAATGAAATGTAAGACAGTTGGGGACCCTTGGGAAAGCTTGTGTTTCCCTATAAAAGCAACAGGTATGTAAGTCATGCACACTGGAACTGTTCCTGCTTTCCTCCTGACTGATACGTGGTGACTGGAGATCGACCAGCCATTTTGTAGTTATGAAATTACCATAATAATAATGGAAGCTGACCTGCTAAGGATGTTGGAGCAGAAAGATAAAAAGAGCAAGGGTCTTCAGTGGCATCCTCTTGCTCCTGTACCAAATCTGGAAATGCCTATCTTCAGAATCCTTTTTATGGAAATTAAATGTCTCTTATTTAGATCACTTTTAATAGAGTTTTCTATTGCTTGCAGCCAAAATTATTTCTAGATAGCTGTATAATCTAGGACAAATTAAACTCTCTAAACTTTAGTTTTCTTATCTATAAAATGGAGCTAGTGATAGTGACCTAACAGAGTTGATGTGGTAATTAATGAGGTCATATTTTCTGACTCGTGATGAGCAAGTCAATGTTTCTTTCTCCTTCCTTTATATGGTATTGTTTGCCAGAAAGCATCTATCACATTTTTTGTACAAAAACAAGTCACAGTAACTTTTTTTTCTTTTTTGAGACAGAGTCTCACTCTGTCGCCTGGCTGCAGTGCAGTGGCACAATCTCGGCGCACTGCAACCTCCGCCTCCTGGGTTCAATCGATTCTCCTACCTCAGCCTCCCGAGTAGCTGGGGCTACAGGCGCCTGCCACCACACCCAGCTAATTTTTGTATTTTTAGTAGAGACGGGGTTTTACCATGTTGGCCAGGATGGTCTCAATCTCTTGACCTCGTGATCCACCTGCCTCAGCCTCTCAAAGTGCTGGGATTACAGGTGTCAGCCGCTGTGCCCAGCCTAAGTCACAGTAATTATCATTTGAATGAGTAAATGAATATTAGAGTAAAGCAGCTGAACAGACTTTGCAAGATAAGCCACTCTAATGGCTTCTCACAGCCTTTTTAATGGCTGAGTAGACAGTCTTTCTCTGCCTCTTGAATCTGACTTGGCTCTGTTACTTGCTTTGGCCCATCAGGGGAGTAGCAAACATGATGAAAACAGATGCATGAAAGGTGATTGCACCCTGGGGCTTGCTCTCTTGATGCAATTAGAACCCTGCAACCACCACATAAATAAGCCCAAGCTAGCTGGTTGGATGATGTAAGAGAACCAAACTGCCCCAGCCAGCAGGCAGCCAACACCAGACATGTGAGTTCCGGCAGGCCACATATGCATGAGTAAACCCAGCTGAGAGCTGAAGAACTTTCCACCTAAGTCCAAAGGGCCAGCCAACTTTGAGCTAAGTGAATAGTTGTTGTTTTAAACCACTAAGTTTTGGGGTGGTTGGTTTTACAGCAAAAAATAAATGATCTAGAGGAGCTCTGAAGTGAATAAGTAAGCATCGGGGTCTCCAGATGTGTCACCTGGAGAAGGACATCATAGCACTTTTGTAGTGTTACAGCTGGGGTCCAGAACCTGAATCCAATCATGAAGAAATATCAGGTAACCTCACATTGAGGAACATTTCTATAAAACAAGCGGCCAGGATTCTCCAAAATGTCAATGTCTTATAAGATAAAGGAAAGCTAGGGAATGGTCCTAGATTAATAAAGACTAAAGAGACATGATATGTAAGTACAATATGTGATCCTCAACTGGATCCTTAATGGGAGGGAAAAAATGCTACAAGGACATGATTGGCAAAAATGTCAAAATTTGAATATGGATTGCAGATAAGGTGGGGTTATTGCATCCATGTGAAATATCCTGAATTTGATAACTGTACTATGGATATATAAGAGAATATCTTTGTTCTTGGGAAGTATACACAGAAGTATTCAGTGGTAAAGGAGCATGATGTATGTAACCTACTCTCAGATGACTTAAATTATTGTAATATTTAAAAATATATTTATATATTTATATTTATAAATATAAAATATATATAACAATAACAATATCTATATAGCTATATATTTGTATTAATATCAAATATATAACTATATATTTATATATAAATATTTCATATATTGTATAATATAGAACTATATATTGACAAATATATCAATATATAAATGGAGATATATTTATAAATATATCAATAGATATATATTTATACTTATATATCAATGGATATATAGTTACAATCTATGTATAACTATATAATGTATAAATATATAATTAAATATATAATTTATACATAGATTATAAATATTAATAAATGTCAATATAAATACAGGGCTGCTGATCTCCAGCTTTTTGCTCCTGGTCACATGTTAGCTACTGCAGCTCCAGGCATTATATTCTTGAGTGATAGCATCTGATGTGGGAAGAAAGAAGGAAGTAGTTCAGAAGGGCCTTTTTTTCTGAAAAGAAACTCTTGCCTATGAGCATCCTAGCAGATTTTCACGTATATCTTATATTTTATATCACTCACATCTCATTGGCCATGCTCTCCCCTCAGCCAGTCACTGGAAAATGGTGGGGAGTGGGAGTCAAGCCCCTGCAGGGGGTGGTGCATCACTGTCCAAACTGCAGAGAAAGAGGGACCAACACTTTCTACACATTCCATGTAAGGAGGATTCTCACTGCGCAGGACCGTTGGGAATTGCTTCATGCACTGCTCATTAGCACGTGCTTCAGACACTGCAGTTTTCTTTATTAAACTCCAGAGAACCAAAATCTAGGACTCAGGAAGGAAAGGGGATGGTCCAAAGTGAGTTTTTTTGAGATGGTTGTGAAAGTTTTTTGCAGTAAGTTGATTAGAATGCCATCCAGCTCAGACCGTATTAAAGAACACTGCTTGTAAGACCCAGAGACTCTCATCCACAGTCTGCTCTGTACCATGAAAAGCTTTCTTTTAAAAGAGAGGTCTGCCTTTGGATTAGGTGAAGCACTTTTTGACAGAGTGTTTGGGGCCAAGGATATATACAGCTGGAGAAATGTTTCAGGCAGGAGATTGATCTTTGGGCAGAGCTTGGAAAGTCAATCATCCGGTGGCGAGTCTCCGAGGAAGCAGTTCAAGTATCGTGACTGGAAAGCAGGGGATGAAGGACTACATGCATGGTTGGAAGAGAAGAAATCGGAATTTACCTAGCTGTGCTGACCTTTCTAGGCCTGCTTCTGGATGTGCAGTGTCTCAACAGGATACTGCAGTGCTTTTATTCCTGCATGTCCATCATTGTAACTAACAATCAAGGGACGTGGATGCCTTCATTCAATACCACTGCTAACTACTAGACCCATCAGTTCACTCAGTAGGTTTGTGTGTATATTACAGTCAAATCTAGCGTGAAAGTCATTTTGGAACGATAAAACCCAACATTCAGAAGAGAAATCTACTGTTATGTGAGCACCTACCTACACAAACCATTTTACTGGCTTTCGTGGAATAATTATAGTCAACCAGGAAATCAGCAATGACAACATAGAAAGCACACAGATGTCAGTAGCACTTCCTGATGTTTTGAAATACCTTGAACATAGCCGTCCTCAGTTAATGTTTCAGCATGAATCTAGGGGAACATCTACTGGGTGTAAACTTAAAGTCAAAACATAAATTCAAGTCCCAATGTTTATGTGATCTTGCTCGAACACTGTTTATCTTTTCAACATAGATGATACCAGTTTGACATTTCCCATAGGAACATTGTGAGGATAAAACTCAAGATAATATAGGTGAAGTTCTTTGTCATTGGTGAAGTTCTGTAATATATGAATGTTGGCTGGGCGCAGTGGCTCACGCCTGTAATCCCAGCACTTTGGGAGGCCGAGGCGGGTGGATCACAGCGTCAGGCGTTCCAGACCAGCCTGGCCAACATAGTGAAACCCTGTCTCTACCAAAAATACAAAAAATTAGCAGGGTGTGGTGATGGGCACCTGTAATCCCAGCTACTCGGGAGGCTGAGGCAGGAGAATTGCTTCAACCTGGGAGGCAGAGGTTGCAGTGAGCCAAGATTGTGCCATTGCACTCCATCCTGGGCAACAGTGTGAGACTCTGTTTCAAAAGTAGTAGTAGTAATAATAATAATAATAATAAGAAGAAGAAGAAGAAGAAGAAGAAGAATGTTAATTGCTAGGTTGTTTTAGTGTTCCTTGTAGCAGTTGTTTTGGAAACATGCGAGTTCATTAAATTGAAGAATTCCTAGAAGTCAACCCTTTTGACAAGGAAGGAAAAATATACTTACAATAATACAAAACTTTTTTTTTTCAATATGTAGTAGTTCAAGCATTTCACTTGTCTCTTGTAACAAAACAACCTATGAGGAGAAACCTGAGGATGCAGGGGCTGTTTGCATTTCCAGAGCTCAGTCATTGGGGAGGAAAATAAAATAGAAAGACAGAATGTTGAAGCAGAAGTGGTGATAAGATCCTGGGCCTCAGGGGACTTGCGACGCTGTGCCTGCTGGTGCCCTGTATACAGTAGAACTCAGCGAATGGTGACCAAGGTAGGGGTCAATGAATAGAATATTCACTTGTTTCTGTTACTTTGTGTGTTCCAATTCTCTCCTTTCTGAGATATCTTTTCAGAAATGGCACCCCCAATATCACTACTGTTAAATATCACTTTATAATATGATAGATAAAATCTCTCACAGATACAAAATTAAAGAAAGTCATCACTTGTATTGAAAACTTAAAGTATGAAATTCTTCGGAATACTATCCATTTAAATTAAGTAAGTAAACTAAAAAGTGGGAAAATCTTGAAACCTTTCCTACCATACTATTCTGTTGTTTCTTTGCAAATATTTACTGAGCACTTGCTATGTGCCAGTGTTCCAGCCACTCGAGATGGATCAGTGACGAAAACCAGTGAAGATGCTGCCCTCATGCACTGCAGGCTAGCAGGGGAGTCTGAAGGTCAACAATAAGTAAATGAAAAGGCTGTAGCGTATTAGAAGATATTTTCTGAGGAAAAGAGGGCAGAGTTGAGGGGGTTTGGGAGAGTAGGTTGATGGAGAGGTTTACAATTTTCAAGTGGATGGCTGGGAGACCTCACTGAGAAGGGGATGTTGAAACAGGGACCTGAAACAGATGGAAGACCGTTACCCCGGACATGACTGCCCCAAAAGGGGTGTGACATTGAATGTACCTGTATGTCTCAAGGCTTTAAGGGGACCCGGTGGCAAGAGGAGAGAGAGCAGTTGGCAGATACCTTTTGTTACGCTGTGAAATGTTAAGCAAAATTATTCTGCAGTAGTTTGTATTTCCTTAAGGAAGATTTAGAATAGAACCTTAGTTAACTATTTCTAAACTGAGCCAAATCATACACTGTTCAGAGCTGGGAGGGACTTGAGACACCCTATCATTGCTGTTCTTCATTTTATGAGAGAAAAAGCTGAAGTCCATTGAAATGATTGGTGGTATAATGGCTCAATTAGTGTATCTCAGTGTTTTCAGAGACAGATGTGGTGATGAGAAAAAATATATGTATGTTGTTTTCCTTTCAGAAAGTGACGAACACATGAAAACTTTCTTCAAAATTTTAAATATCTACATCCTCTGAGATTTTATTTTTTTGTGATAAAATGTTACATAATATAAAATTAGCCAGTTAAGCCATTTTAAGTGTACAATTCAGTGGCATTAATAACATTTACAGTGTTGTGCAACCATCACCACTATCTATCTCCAAAATATTTTCATCGCTTCCACGAGAAACTCTGTACCCATTAAGCATTAACTCCCCATTCCATGCTCCCTCCAGTGCCTAGTAACCTCTAATCTGCTTACTGTTCAAGATATTTCACGTAAGGGAAAGCTTAGATTTTTTTTTGCCTGGCTTCTTTCACTTAGCCTGTTGTTTTTGAGGTTCATCCATGCTGTAGCATGTATCAGAACTTCATTCCTTTTTAGGGCTGAATAATATTCCATTGTGTGTAAGTAACATATTTTGTTTATCCATTCATCTGTTGACAGACACTTGAGTTGTTTCCACCTTGGGACTATTGTGAATAATGCTGTTATGAACATCGGTGTGCAAGTGTCTGAGCTCCTTTACTCAGTTCTTTTAGAGATACACACACAGAGGCATATATACATATATAGAGACACACATATGTATACACACACATGCACGCACACACACGCACGCATACACACTTGCACGCGCACACACACACACACAGAGACTGAGAGAGAGAATTGCTGGGTGATATGGTCAAATTCGTGTTTAACTTTCTGAGAAACTGCCAAACTGCTTTCCACAGCAGCCGCGCTACTTTACATTCTCAACAGCAATGCACAGGGTTTCAGTTTCTCCACATCCTTCTCAACACTTTTTATGATTATTTTCATTATTATAACCACCCTAGTAGATGTGAAGTGGTATCTCATTGTGGTTTGTATTTATATTTCCCTGATGACTGATAATGTTGAGTATCTTTTCATGAGCTTATTGGCCATTTGTCTATCTCCTAAAATTCTGTCAGTAACATTTTATAGTTTTCAAGGTACAAATATTTTGCCTATTGTTCCATTTATTTCGAAGTACTTTATTTTTGATGCTTTTGTAAATGCAATTGTTTTCTTAATTTCCTTTTCAGATTGTTCATTGTTAGTGTATAGAAATGTAAATATGTGCAACATTTTTATGTGTCGATTTTGTATCATGCAACTTTACTGAATTTGTCTATTAGTTTAGACAGCTTTTTGTGTGTGGATTCTTCAGGGCTTTCTACATATAAAATTATGTCATCTGCAAATAGAGATAATTTTACTTCTTCTTTTTCAGTTGGGATGTCTTTTATTTCTTTTTCTTGCCTAATTTCTCTGGTTACAACTTTTAGTGCTATACTGACTAGTAGCGGTGACTGTGAGCATCTTTGTCTTGTTCCCGATCTAAGTGAAATTTATCTAAGTGGAATGAGTGAAAAGTTTTCAACTTTCACCATTGAGTATGATGTTGGTTGTGGGTTTTTCACACATTGTCTTTATTTTGTTGAGGGCATTCCCTTGTATTCCTGGTTTATTGAATATTTTTATCATGAAAGGGTGTTGGACTTTGTCAGATGCATTCACTGTATCAATTGATATGGTTATGTGGGTTTTATTTCTTTTATCCTATTGTTACAGTATATTACATTGATTGATTTTTATATTTTGAGCCATTCTTGCTTGCACTCCTGGGGTAAATCCATTTGATCATGGTATATGATCCTTTTAATGTGCTACTAAATTTGGTTTGCTGGTAATTTCTTGAGGAGTTTACATCTATGTTCATAAGAGATATTGGTATGTGGCTTTCTTGTAGTGAGCCCCTGTGAAACTATCTTTACTTTAAACCTCTAGTTTTAATTTATCTTTTTTTTTTTTTTTTTTTGAGACGGAGTCTCACTCTGTCGCCCAGGCTGGAGCACAGTGGCGCGATCTTGGCTCACTGCAAGCTCCACCTTCCGGGTTCACACCATTCTCCTGCCTCAGCCTCCCAAGTAGCTGGGACTACAGGCTCCCGCCATGCCTGGCTAATTTTTTGTATTTTTAGTAGAGATGGAGTTTCACTGTCGATCTCCTGACCTCATGATCTGCCCACCTCGGCCTCCCAAAGTGCTGGGAATACAGGCGTGAGCCACCGTGCCTGGCCTAATTTATCTCTTTAATTTTAATTTATCTCTTTGGTTTTAATTCATCTTTCTTCATTCTCATGTTATAAGTTCTGAAAAAATAGGAGTGTCTGCTGGGAATGTCCTTCCTTTTTTATAAGTAAGTCAAAAATAAGCTCTGCCACTTATTAGTATGGTGAAGATAAAAAAGCAGAACCCTATAAGGAGGTCAAGAATGCAGAATATTAATATGTTGATACTCTAATCCCTTTACATTCTCATTCATAGCCACAAGTACAATGAAAATCAAAATAAATATTATATTTCATCTCTGAAAGATTGATGTGTTTGGACCTGACCAATGTAGCCTGGTGTCCATGTAGCCTGGTGTAAATTATGTTCTCAAGTAAGGATTTTACTCTGTCTCCAAAAGGTTAAATAGGTCACTGATTAGAATTATAGATAAAAGAGTACTTGTCTTTCCAGGTTTCTCAGGAGAGAATGAGAAAGATCTTCTCACTGTAGAAGCTTCTTTGAATAGGCACAAGAAGTTACATCTGGCTTCACTTAAACACCACTTGCCTTACAACTTGTTCTAAATCTTCAGAAAGGATTAGTCTGAAAAGCTAATTTTGTTGGAAGTTGAGAGATAATCATGTACATTTCAGACACTGTTTGAAACTTAATTTCCCCCCACAATTACTCACCTTCTAGCGTTGACTGATGAAAGTATAATGGTATAAAGGTACCCTTTTTTTCTGTGGCTCAGGATCATCACACACCCTGAGCTGAAGGCATACAGGCTGCACTTGCCTTGATACAACCCAAGTACACTGCTGCTTGCATATAGACCCCAGTTTCATATTCCACACCTGGCCATTCTCAGCTCTTTCTCCAGTTTTGAAGTGTACTTTTCCTGCATGATGCTGTACAGGACTAAGGACTCTGGGGATAGAGGTTTGAGAAGTATCCCTACCCCTTCCCCAGTGCCTTCCACAGACAGCACAGACATCCTGTGCCTTTGAAGGGATGGCATTGAGCAATAACATTTATTTTTAGTCTTGCCACAGTGCTCTTTGCTCCCTCTCCACCCCAGACCCTACACAGAGCTGCGCTCCTGTTGGAGATGTCCCAGGCCTCCTCTCGAGTTGGAGATGTCCCGGGCCTCCTCTCGAGCTGGAGATGTCCCGGGCCTCCTCTCGAGTTGGAGATGTCCCGGGCCTCCTCTCGAGTTGGAGATGTCCCGGGCCTCCTCTCGAGTTGGAGATGTCCCGGGCTTCCTCTCGAGTTGGAGATGTCCCGGGCTTCCTCTCGAGTTGGAGATGTCCCGGGCTTCCTCTCGAGTTGGAGATGCAGACAAGAGGCCACATGCAGAAGCACTGTGCTTTGGGCTTTCCTTTGCAAATGCTTCCCTCTCTGACGCTGTAGAGGCAGAGCTTGTAGAGCCAGCTGCTGCTTAGAAGGGTCGCCCTGTGGGATTAGAATCTTTCAAGTTCTAAGATAAATTTTGTTACTGTCCTTTCACACTGATAACTTCTCACTGTCCTCTTTTCTATTGCCATTCTCCTCCTCCTCCACTTTCTCCTCTCCTTTTTTTTTAAAGTTTCCCTTCTCTGGATTCTTCTCTTACATCTTTTGCTTCTGTGCATAGGCTCGCCCTCTTAGGAAGATTTTCAACAATTATAAATACAAAAAATGTTCTTGCATGGGATGCTCAATACTGTACAGACTTTCATTAGTCAAAATGCCTAACTGCTTCCAATCCTGCATATTCTGTCTAATTGGGAACATTCCTCCACAGTGAGTTCTGTACTCTGGTGACTCTAGTTTACTGGAACTCACTAGTTTTGGAATGAGGCAAAAAAAAAAAAAAAAAATACTGCCTTAAAACCCTGTCAGACCTGGGTACTTGGCAACAAATTACAGCTGAGGAGTGCCAAAGACCTGAAAATTATACCTACCTTGGTTGACAGTACCTTTAAGTGTCTATGTATTTATGACTCACTTTCTTCCATAAAGAATTTGAAGTGCCTTATTAAAGTACATACCCGAGGATAAAATAAATAGTTGAGATAATCAGGGCAAAGAGGAAATGCGGATAAGAAAATAAAACTGGAGCAAAAGTCACAAAGAGAAATGTACCCTGAACAGTTGTGCAGTTGTAGAGGTGGCCTCCAAGGTTGCCTCTAAGCTCCGATGGGGCCAAAGTAAAAAGTGAATTTTGACCGATTATGTAGCACATGGCATCCTTAAAATTAAAAAAATCCAGTTGTCAAGAAAAGGAAGCCTTTTCTGTTCCCAAGATCCGAAGTCATTTTCTTAAATCTAAGATCAATTTATTTCCTGAAGCCTCCTACAGAAAACTATATGATAGAGTGGTCACGTCCTTCACAGGAGTCGCCAGTATTGTCTTACTGATGGAATAGGCCAATGACACAATGCAGGGGTGCGATTCAGAAGAAATAAATCGAAAGGGAACCAAAACAAAATGTTTTAAAGGTAAAATTTGATGCAACTCAGCAAATGGACACCGTATCCTTTCTTGCAACCCTCCATGAAAATTGATTGTCACAGGCAAACTTTTTATTAGGATGATTATGCGAATGAAAGGTTGTAGGCAGTGGTAGGCAGCTGAAGTCCAGTTGCTCTCTGTTCCCCATGAGGGTCTGGTCCATAAGCTTTGACACACAGGTGGTGGGATTTTATGTGCCCGCGGGAATGACCCCCTCAGTCACCTCAGCACTGGGTCCTCTCAGGTAGAGCCAGTCTCCTCTCTTTAGAAGAGGGTGTCCCTACTGACAGCCACATGGGACTGAGGCCCTGGAGTCACGCATATCCCCAGCACAACCATCAGCCTTCCTTTCCCCCATCAACCTTTCAGTGTGGTCCTGCCAATCATCCACTTAGGCCAGTGAACATTTCTTTTTTTTTTTTGAGACAGGAGTCTCGCTCTGTGGCCCAGACTGGAGTGCAGTGGCACGATCTCGGCTCACTGCAAGCTCTGCCTCCCTGGTTCACGCCATTCTCCTACCTCAGCCTCCCAAGTAGCTGGGACTACAGGTGCCCGCCACCATGCCCACCTAATTTTTTTTGTGTATATATATATATATGTATATATTTTTTTAGTAGAGACGGGGTTTCACCATGTTAGCCAGGATGGTTTCAATCTCCTGACCTCGTGATCTGCCCGCCTTGGCCTCCCAAAGTGCTAGGATTACAGGTGTGAGCTACCGCACTCGGCCAACCATTTCTACATTTCTAATAAACCAGCTCTAGAACATCTGACTTTTAGCAGTGTAGCTTTGCAGTGAGCCTTCTGAGAAAAGCAATTGGAAGTTGTATTTGTGAAGGTAACTGTTTTTATCTTTTCAGTGAATTCTTGGATATTAGCCAATGTGATTAATGACTTTAATTTTAAGACTCATTGATGTTAAGCCATTCTGTATGGCAGTAATGGAATGGCAGGAGCAACTATCTCTTGTGGCCATTTCAAATGCGAAAAACTGAATTCTCATCATCAGCATTACTCCCAGTGTGCAGCTTACCTCGTCACACAGGACAGCCCAGCCTCCCCTCGCCGTGTTCTGCAGATGTGATTTCCAGCTGGCGGTGCTCCCTCTGCTCCGTCTCACCCTGCTCCATTCAGAAGACGTGCCACATCAGTCTGGAAAAGCAAGTCCTCCTTTACTCTGAGACATATTACAGTGGAGCCTAGACTGCCATCATCATGGCAACCATGGGGCTCCCTCTTATGTGAAGTTCGTTCGCCCTTTACCTGAGCCATGTTTTTCACCTGTCCCGCTTGGCAGTGCATGCGTGGGTCCGGCCTCTTCAGGACTGCTGTGCTTGGCAGCTCCCTGGCTCAGCTGGGAGGAAGATAGCAAATGGGAAATTTCTCTGTTTTTCCATAACTTTATGATAATTCGATTTTGGACTCATACCTTTATTTCTTATTGTTTCTGATATTTCTATTTTGACAAACATAATAGAATGTAGATTTACCTTTTAGATGGTATTTATTCCCTTCAATGCTGTTACTTCTGAGCATTTTGTGATCATTTCCATTTCTCATCTGTGAAACTGGTATTCAGTGTCTAGCAAGCAATGAATGAAGCATTTAGTGCTTTTTTTCTTCTTCCGTACGCCTTTAGCCTCCCAACCCTTAATTGTGAACATCGTGTAAACTTTGCTTTTCAGAACACCAGCCCTTTTTTGCTTTTCTCTGAGACATCATTCATTCGCACTGTCGTGTCTTCAGCTTTGTGCTGTGAGAGTGACTCAAAGAATCCACTGTGTGGGAAGCACATGTTCTTCTCATTAGCACAGATATATGTCTAAAACTCGTTTATGGAGTAGTCAATACTGTGTATGACATTGTGTAGGGACTGTTTTCTCAGAACTCTCAGGTTTAGATGGGGAGAGAAACTTGTAAATGTGATAGTTGCTAATAGAAATATGTACAGCGTGTTTGTCACGGGGAAATGAAGGTAAACTTAATGCTTCAGGGTCAGAGGAAGAATCTCACAGTCAGAATACTTCAATGAAGTTTTAGAGGACCATGACAGGTTACTTTAGGAGAGGGGCAAGTGTTAGGAAGATCCGCTATATTATGACAAGGACATATGATGTTTAGAGAACTGTGGATAATCTGAGGTGGTGGGCCCAGCACCAGGTGTGAGGGGCCTTTGGTGCTGTTGTTAGGGGTTATATTTTCTTTCCCAGTCATAATTCTCAGCTTGCAGTCTGCAGATTCCTAGGGGGTCTATGGATCAGCACTTAGAATATGTAAGAGTTTGCTATGGAACGTCTTAACTTTGTGGGTTTAAATATATATGTAAGCTATATTGGCATGTTCTATATCATTTAAATCATTACACCTCAAAGTGTGGTGCTCAGAATGGTGCTGATCCACAAACTATCAGTTTCCAGTTCACAAGGAGATAACCACAGAGGCTGAGAGTAACCGTTGAGAAACTTACAGCAATTTGACTTGGTACTGCCGTGTCATTCAAGTGTAGTATGTTTGAAATGCCAGTTTGTTGAAGTAGTATTACACACAACAGAATTCATACTTTTAAAACATAGCTACATGAGTTTTGAAGGATATATACAGTCATGTAAACACCCCACAATCAAGATAGAGAAAATTTCCATCTCCTGGAAAAGTTCTCTTATGTCCTACCAATCTGTTATCTGTCTCTATAGTTTCGCCTTGTCTAGAATGTCATGAGAATTGAATTCATATTGTAGATAATCTTTAGTGACTAATCTCTTTTTGTTAAACATAATTCTTTTGAGATTCATGTATTTTGTTCTGTATAGGAATAAGTTATTTTTATTACTAGGTCATATTCTGCTATCAGAAAAGGGTCCTGATCCACACCCCAAGAGAGTGTTCTTGGATCTCGTGTGAAAAAGAATTCCGGGCAAGTCCGCAGTGTAAAGTGAAAGCAAGTTTATTAAGAAAGTAAAGAAACAAAAGAATGGCTACTCCATAGACAGAGCAGTGGCATGGGCTGTTCCACTGCATAATACTTAGGGTTATCTCTTGATTATATGCTAAACAAGAGGTGGATTATTCATGAGTTTTCCAGGAAAGGGGCAGGCAATTCCCAGAAGTGAGGGTTCCTCCCCCTTTTAGAGTATATAGGGTAGTTTCCAGACATTACCATGGCATTTGTAAACTGTCATTGTGCTGGTGGGAATGTCTTTTAGCATGCTGATGCATTAAAATTAGCATATAACCAGCAATGAGGAGGACCACAGGCCACTTTTGTCGCCATCTTGGATTTGGTGGGTTTTGGCCTGCTTCTTTACCATATCCTGTTTTCTCAGCAGGGTTTTTGTGACCTGTATCTTGTGATACCACCCCTGCTGACCTCCTATCTCATCCTGTGACTCAGAATGCCTCACCTCCTGGGAATGCAGCCCAGCAGGTCTCATCCTTATTTTACCCAGCTCCTACTCAAGATGGAGTCACTCTGGTTCAGATGCCTTTGACAATTCTACTATATGGATATACCACAATTTCTCCATTCACTGGTTGATGGACATTTTGGGTGTTTTGGGGTTGAGCTATTCTGAATTAAGCTGCATTGGACTTCCAGTGCACATGTTTCCATATCTTAGGTAAATACTTAGGAATGGAATTGCTCTGTCATATGCTAAGTGTCTGTTTAATTCAGGGTTTCTCTGTTTCATGTTTTGGGTTGGATAATTCTTTGTGGTGGGAAACCATTCCGTCCATTATGGGATCTTTAGCAACATCTTTGGCCTCTACCCACTAGATGTCAGGATGCTCCCCACTCCCAGTTTTGATCACCAAAAATGTCTTCAGACCTTACCAAATGTCCCCTGGTGGTTAAGATGGCCCCCAGTTGAGAAATATTGGTTTATTGTAAAAAACTACCAAACTGTTTTTGAAACTACCAAAGTGGTTTTATCATTCCCACCCAATAATTTACGAGTTCTAGTTTCAATGTGTCATATCTTAATTTTTATTCATTTAAATATATTTTCTGATTTCCCTTGTGATGACTTCTTTGGCTCATGTGTTACTTAGAGAAGTATGTTGTTTAATTTCCCAATATTTGGGAGATTTTTCAGATATTTTTCTGTTGATTTCTGATTTATTTGCATTTGGACATAGAACTTTTTTTGTACAATTTCAATCCTTTTAAATATTTGAAATGTATTTTGTGTTCCAGAATATGGTCTGTGGTGGTGGATGACCCATGTACACTTGAAAAAAATGTCAATTATGTTGTTGTTGAGTGGAATGTCATGTGCATAATTTTATATGTGACCAAATTATCAGCCTGTGATGTGCTGGAAATGTTTAAAAAGTTCTTTGCTAATGACCAGTGCCTCTCCATCTGTCTGTAGCTTATAGCCTGTGTTCCCATTTGTCTTGATGATTGCCTTGATGCCAAGTGATAACCGCAGGTGCTGGTGTTTCACTTATAATGAAGCCTTTTCCCTCCTGGACTTTGCACACCTAATCCTGAAGCTCCATGAATGTTCTGGTTCAGCTAGAGCGAATGGGGATTTGTGAAACAATTATAAGGGTTTTCTGTTGTTGGTGGTGGTTTTTTTTTTTTTTTCTCACTCTGTGGACCAAGCTGGAGTGCCATGGCACAATTTCAGCTTACTGCAACCTCCACCTCCCAGGTTCAAGCAGTTTTCTTGCCTCAGCCTCCCGAGTAGCTGGGATTACAGGCACACGCCACCATGCCTGGCTAAATTTTGTACTTTTGGTAGAGACGGGGTTTCACTGTTGGCCAGGCTGGTCTTGAACTCCTGACCTCGTGATCTGCCAGCCTTGTCCTGCCAAAGTGCTGGGATTACAGGCGTGAGCCACCGCTCCTGGCCAAGTTTTTTATGTTTTAGGAAAACATTAAATGCAAGGTAGAAATGAGAACAAAATGTTTCTTGTGGCTCGTTGAGACGAGTCCTGCCTGTATCTCCAGAATCCACTCCTCAGCCTTCCCGTGCTGCATCCCGTCCCATTGCTACTGAAGAAACTCCTTCAGTCTGGAATTTCCTATCACTTTTCTCTACATTTTGAATCTGGATTAGTTATGTTTGTTTGTTTGCTTTTTTTTTTTTTTCTGGGTAACAAATTACACTTAGTGGCCTAACATAGCACGAATTGACTATATCATAATATCCTTGCATGAGGAGCCTGGCTATGGATTGATAGGGTCCCCTGATCAGGATCTTACCAGGTTGAAATCAAGGCAGAGGCAGGGCTGTGTACTCTGAAGCTGGGGTGCTATCATCAGCTCACTCCAGCTATTGGGAGAATTTGTTCCGTCCCACTGTAGAAGTGAAGTTCCCATTTTCTCCCTGGCTGCTGGTGCCTCTCTGAGCTCCTTTAGGACTTCTCAAGGGCCCGAGCCATGTGGCCTCTTCACAGCCAGGAGGTGGATCTCTCTCCAATCGGCCAAGATGGAGTCCTAGATAAAAAGTAAAGCAGTCACAGGCTTAAATTCCCATTGTGTTCCTAGATCCCACCCATACTCAACGGGAGGAGTTTACACAAGGCATGTGCATGCGGGGTGGGAGTCTCCGAGGCCATCTCAGCCTACCACAGGATCCTACTCATCTGTTAGTGTCCAGTTGGAATTATATCCTTTCATGAGCTCATTTCATAAGCTTTCCTGCAGTGTGAACTGCTCCTTTGCCTGCCTTCATTCTGCAGTTTCTATCTTCCCTTTTACACTGCCTCAGTTTGTGAAGTAAACCCTTCTAATTTATGGCACTGACACAATCTGAGCAGGACACTGTACCTTTGGAGTAGGTGGTGCTAGTTATACCCCTCGTCTGGGCCTGCTTGTGTTCTCTGCAATGCTGAAGTGGCTGTTGGTAAGAATAAGCATTATGGTGTTTAATAAAACTGAGGTTCTTAAAGGCATGACGTATGTACTTTCTTCATGTAAGTTCGTTCTAAACATGTTATGGCCACTATGGCATGTTTTGAATGTATCTCATTATCTACTACACTTAAGGACAGAGACCGTCTTTTCTTTCCACTCTGTAACCTATATTCAGTGGGCTAAATGTTTGAATCAGAGCAAGCAAAGACTACAGAAAAATCATAACTCAGTTCAGGAACCAGTGCTTCAGAAAGCCTAGAATGTAATCAGAAATGAAAGACAGTACTCCAGACAGTATGACTTCAGAATCCGTTCATGAGGGCAGTCCGGAATATGGAGATGAGAAAGCGTGGAAGATTGGGCACCCTCATGGATGTCTTTGTAGCGGCTGCCCAGTGCCTTTGCCCGCTGGTAGGCATCTAATTAGTGTCACTGATAACTGTCAGGGAGTGGTATGAACCTATCCAATCTCGATACTTTTTAAAAACAACTATTTTGTTTCCTAATCACAGCTGGTGCTCAAGACCGAATCGGCTGGGCTTTTGGCCTAGGATTAGAAAGGCTAGCCATGATCCTCTACGACATCCCTGATATCCGTCTCTTCTGGTGTGAGGACGAGCGCTTCCTGAAGCAGTTCTGTGTATCCAACATTAATCAGAAGGTGAAGTTTCAGGTAAGATGACTTGCAAGAACTGAATAGATAATAATAAAAATGGCTGTCAAGGATCGACAGGATCATGTACTTGAAAGCCACTGAATTTTATTTTATTTATTTTATTTTATTTTCATTTTACTTTAAGTTCTGGGATACATGTGCAGAACGTGCAGGTTTGTTGCATAGGTATACGTGTGCCATGGTGGTTTGCTGTGCCTATCAACCCGTCATCTAGGTTTTAAGCCCCACATGCATTAGGTATTTGTCCTAATGCTCTGCCTCCCCTTGCCTGCCACCCCGCAACAGGCCCCGGTGTGTGATGTTCCCCTCCCTGTGTCCATGTGTTCTCATTGTTCAACTCCAACTTATGAGTGAGAACATGTGGTGTCTGGTTTTCTGTTTCTCTGTTAGTTTGCTGAGAATGATGGTTTCCAGCTTCATCCATGTTTCTGCAAAGGACGTGAACTCATTCTTTTTTATGGCTGCATGAATTTTAAATAATGTGAATTTGTAAAGAAGTTCTGGCCAGGCATGGTGGCTCATGCCTTTAATCTCAGCACTTTGGGAGGCCAAGACGGGTGGATCACCTGAGGTCAAGAGTTCGAGACCAGCCTAGTCAACATGGTGAAACCCTGTCTCTACTAAAAATACAAAAATTAGCTGGGCATGGTGGCACGCACCTGTAGTCCCAGCTACTTGGGAGACTGAGGCAGGAGAATCACTTGAACCCAGGAGGCAGAGGTTGCAGTCAGCTGAGATCGTGCCATTGCACTCCAGCCTGGGCAAAAATAGCGAAACTCTGTCTCAAAAAAAAAGAAGTTCCTAAATAGAGGTCCATAAACACACAAGGGGTTCATAAACCTTCAGAAATTTTATGCAAGAGAAAAGATATTTGTCAATATTATTAGTCTAAGCAGAGAACCAATTTTGTACTTTTTTTTTTTTTTTTTTTTAGACAGAATCTCACTCTGTCGCCTGGGCTGGAGTGCGCGATCTTGGCTCACTGCAACCTGCGCCTCCTGGGTTCAAGCAATTCTCCTGCCTCAGCCTCCTGAGCAGCTGGGATTACAGGCGCCCACCACTACGCCCAGCTAATTTTGTGTATTTTTAGTAGAGACGGGGTTTCACCATGTTGGCCAGGCTGGTCTCAAACTCCTGACCTTGTGATTCGCCCGCCTTGGCCTCCCGAAGTGCTGGGATTACAGGAGTGAGCCACTGCGCCCAGCCCTCATCTAGTATCTTTTCCAACAATTCTACTCCATTCATTTTTCAGAATGAAGCTGCATATATGTTAGACCATTTGATCCTATGCCATAGAACTCTGATGAAAGGTTTTTTTAATTAACGATTTTCTTTTCCTGTGTGCTTTATTTTTGATAATTTTTATTGTCTTCTCTTTGGGTTGCTCATCTTTTTTTTTTTCCTGTTTTGTCCAAGTAACCATTAAGCCCATCCAGTGAATTAATCATTCCCCAGATAACTGTATTTATCAATTCTAGAATTTGCATTTGCTTCCTTTTTAGAGTTTTCATTTATCTACTGAAATGCTTGATTTTTTCATCCATTTCATCCATTCTTCCTTAAATTCTTTCACATATTCATAATGGTTATTTTATTTTATTTTATTTTATTTTATTTATTTATTTTGAGACGGAGACTTGCTCTGTTCCCCAGGCTGGAGTGCAATGGCATGATCTCAGCTCACTGCAACCTCTGCCTCCTGGATTCAAGCAATTCTCCCACCTCAGCCTCCCGAGTAGCTGGGATTACAGGCATACACTGCCATGCCTGGCTAACTTTTGTATTTTTAGTAGATACAGGGTTTCACCATGTTGGCCAGGCTGGTCTCAAACTCCTGACCTCAGGTGATCTGCCCATCTTGGCCTCCCGAAGTGCTGGGATTACAGGTATGAACCACTGCGCCCGGCCTCATAATGGTTATTTTAAAGTACTTGTCTGTTAATTCCAACCATTTGATTATCTAGTGTTCTTTTGTTGTGGTTGTTTTCCCTTCCTAATCATGGCTTACATATTTCCTGCTGCTTCACTTGTCTTTTTGTTTTTTTTTTAATTGTGTTTGAATGGACAAAGACTGAGGTAGATAAAATTTATCCCCAGAAAGTCTTATGCTTTCTACCTTCTGGCTGCTAAGGTGACTAGGCCAGATCTTTTTGTTCTAATCAGGAGTTGAGTTGAATTTCACATCTGCTTTCCTCTTGATGGTGAGATCTAGCCCTGCAGCAGAGTTTGGGATCTAACCATGTGAGATCACAGGATCTCTTTCTGCTTTCCATCCACTTACCAGCTTCTTCCACCACCAGCGTTTGTAAGCAGAAATATTATGAAGGAGAATTGGCTGGCAGTGAGGGTTAGCTCTGTTTCTCCATTTTCCAATCTGCCATGCCAGCCCATGCTTGGCTGACGCAAGTGTGGCTCATTCTTCTTATTCCAACAAAATGTCTTTGCCAGTAGCAGGCTAGCTCTTCTGCCTACTCACGCCCCAGTGGCGACAGCAGCCATCAGTGTCTGTCTACCCTAGAAGGGCTCATCTCTCTCTGGAGTTATACTTATTTATATTTGTGTACAGACCTTTTCAACTGTATTAGTCCATTTTCATGCTGCTGATAAAGATATACCCCAGACTGGGAAGAAAAAGAGGTTTAATTGGACGTACAGTTCCACATGGCTGGGGAGGCCTCAGAATCATGGCGGTGGGCGAAAGGCACTTCTTACATGGCAGCAGCAAGAGAAAATGATGAAGAAGCAAAATCAGAAACCCCTGATAAACCCATCAGATCTTGTGAGACTTAATCACTATCACGAGAATAGCACAGGAAAGACCGGCCCCTGTGATTCCATTACCTCCACCTGAGTTGCTCCCACAACATGTGGGAATTCTGGGAGATACAATTGAAGTTGAGATTTGGGCGGGGACACAGCCAAACCATATCATCAACTTTAAGGACAGGTATGATTTTTATGAGTGTATTTTGTTATTGTTATAGTGAAGCACACTGATTTTGTGTGTGTGCCCATCTGCATCTTGAACCTTTCTATGTATATATGCATATATTTTTGGTTTTACCTTATGAGGACTTTTAAAAACTTCTACTTGAATAATTATCTGTTTTATTTTAGCATCAATTTCCTTGTAGACTAATTTGAAATAAAGCTGTATCTAATTTACAATAAAACCTGGCTAGGGCTGTAACTTTTTCTCATTCTCTTTTTAATATATTGTCAGTTATTTAATCAGCAAACATTTAAAGAACACCAACATCGTGTAGAATGGTGTGCTCAACACCATGGTGTGACAAATAAAGATGAAAAACACAGTTGCCACCAGAATTAAGTGGCTTAAATTCAATTTTAAGTGTACTTACAACAATCTTTTTTTATGAGACACATAGAAATAGACTCTTGATCTCTTGCACTAAATGTCATTTTTTTTCTCCTTTCTGCCTTCAAATTTGAAAGCCAATATATGCATACCTGCACTAATATATAATTTTTATAGTTGTCTTTGTGTAACAAACTTAAGAACTTCTAACGGGGCAATTAGGATTTGTACATTCATATTTAGTATATGTTCATAAAATACTTTGTGAAGTATAGATTATAGATCATACTATTACCTAAGTATTCACTTATAATTAGTATCTATTCTTGTTAGTTTCCTGTTGCTTAGGTAACCAGTTACCACAAATCTAGTAGCTTAAAACAACATGTATTTATTATTTTACAGTTCTAGAGGTCAGAAAACCAAAATCCACCCAACTGGGCTAAAGTTAAGGTGTCAGCAGGGCTGACTCCTTCTGTAGGCTCTTGGGGGAATCCACCTTCTTGACTTTTCTGGCTTTTTTTTTTTTTTAATTATACTTTAAGTTCTAGGGTACATGTGCACAACGTGCAGGTTTGTTACATATGTATACATGTGCCATGTTGGTTTGCTGCACCCATTAACTCGTCATTTACATTAGGTATTTCTCCTAATGTTATCCCTCCCTCTTCCCCCCACTCCACGACAGACCCTGGTGTGTGATGTTCCCTGCCCTGTGTCCAGGTGTTCTCATGGTTCAGTTCCCACCTATGAGTGAGAACATGCGGTATTTGGTTTTCTGTCCTTGTGAACTGTCACCTTTTCCGGCTTTTAAAGGCCATCCTCAGTCCTTGGATCACAGCCATGCATCATGTTGCCTTTTCTCTCTCCTTCATCTTTTGTCACATTGCCTTCTCTTTGACCTTTGCTTCTTTCTTATAAGGATCCTTATGATTGTATCAAGCCTTGCTGGGTAATTCAGGATAATCTTCCCATCTCAAAATACTTCTCTTAAAGTAATCCTTTAATACTTTAATACAAATTAATTCTCTAATACAAAAGGAAATGTAAATTTCCTGTTGAATATAAGGTAATGTATTTCTAGGTTACAGGGATTAGGACGTAGATATCTTTGGGTAGGGTTGGGGGCATTTTTCAGTCTACCAGAGTCTTCCCTTTGACCCCTAAAGATTCACATCTGTCTTTTGTAAAATACATTCAGCCTATCCCAAGGTCCCACAAACTCTGAACCCATTGCAAAATCAACTCAAAATCCAAAATGTCATCTAAATATCATCAGCCCCTAAGTCCCATTTCATCATTTAATTATCTAAAGCTGGTTTATGTGACACTCTGGGTATGATTCATCCTGGGGCAAAATTCCTCCCCACTTTTGCACCTGAAGCGAGGTACCTACTCCCAAAATACAATGAGTAGGATAGGCATTGGAGAATAGTTGTAGACATTTCCATTCAAAAAGGGAGAAAATGAAAGGAGAAGAAAAAGAATCACTGGTTCCAAGCTATTTCAAAATTCAGCCATTAGGTTTCAAGGCCTGGGGATAATTCTCTGTGGCCCTTGGCTTCACCCATTTGACCTGTATTTCTACCCTCTAAAATATCCTTCTTTTTTAAAGTTCTTTTATTTATTTATGAGGCCAGGTCTTGCTCTTTCATCAGGCTGGAGCCCAGTGGTGCCATCACGGCTCACTGCAACCTCCACCTCCCAGGCTTACATCTCAGCCTCCCGAGTAGCTGGTACTACAAGCACATGGTACCACGCCCAGCCAATTTTTTGTGTTTTTAGTAGAGAAGGTGTCTTGCCATGTTGCCCAGGCTGTTCTTCAACTCCTGGGCTCAAGCAGTCTGCCTGCCTTGGCCTCCCACAGTGTCAGGGTTACAGGCATGATGAGCCACTGTGCCTTACCTCCTTTTTTGTTAAGGGTGGCATGTATATGCAGGTGAGTTGTTTTATTACCCTGGCTTTTGCCTGAAGAATTTGGGGAGTCAAATAGCCTTCTTTCTTTCCTTCTCTTTTTGTTCTTTTGTCCCTCTCAATTCCAGCTGACAGTGTTCCTGATGGTAAATCATTCTCAAAAACCTTGTGGCTCTCCCATTTATATCATAGGGATTCATTCCATTACACAAGAGGCTCCTCTGCAGATCTTTCTTGAATAATTCATTGCTATTTCTGGCTTCTGCTGAGACGCCTGAGGGGATCCTTGACTCATATGCTTAATTTCTTCAAAGAGCCCTCTGTTTGACTAAATACCCTGATCCTTCAAAACTTCTGAGGCATTAACAAAGGGTTGTATAGCTGCACTCATGGCTTTCTCTCCAAAGCACTTTTCTTTCAGCAAAACCCCTAACTTTTTGTCTTTTTCAGTATAGATAGGCTAAGAATTTCCCAAATTATCTAATCTTGCTCCTCTTTGCATAGCAGTTCTCTTAATTTGTCTGTTTTCTCCTGCAAGAATAAAGCAGGCTGCATTTTCACTGTTTGCTTGGAAATTTCCTCAGCTAAATATCCAAGTTCATTGTTTACAAGTTTTGCTTTCCACTTCCAATTCATCTAATTCTGCCGCTATGAATGAACAAGGATCCCCTTTCCTCCACCTTCCACTAACATGTTCCTCATTTCCTTGCGAGCCCTCACCAGCAGGGCTTTTGACATCTGTATTGCTACCACCAGTATGTTTATGAATATTTGGATATTCTCAGACAGTATAGGTTTTCTCTACCATGCTCCTCACTTTTTCCTTGCCTGTCACAGTCTATAACATCCATATTTCTACAAGAGTCTCTTTAAGGCAAAATAGCCATTTAATATCATGGTGCTCCAAGTTATCTACTACCCACTGACCAATTCCAAGGCTAATTCCACATTTTTATGTATTTGTTACAAGCAATACCTCACTTCCAGATACAAAAATACGTATTAGTTTCTTGTTGCTGCTATAATAAATTACCACAAACTTAGAAGCTTAAAACAACATGAGCTTATTATCTTATATTTTTGGAGGACAGAAATCCAGAATCAGCCTGATTGGCCTAAAGTAAAGGTGTCAGCAGGGCTGGTTCCTTCTGGAGGCTCTGGGGGAGAATCTGTTCCCTTGCCTTTGCCCGTCTAGAGACAGTCCTCAGTTCTTAGCTTATGACAGCATCACGTTGCCTTCCCCCAAGCCCTGCCACTTCCCTCTGTAAACACCTCACCCTCTCTCTGAATTTTTGCCTCCCTCTTCGAAGGACTCTTCTGATTACATGGAACCCACCAGGATATTCAGGATAATCACCTCATCTGAACATCCTTCCTTAATTATATCTATAAAGATCTTAATGTAGGATAACGTATTCTCAGGTTCCAGGGAGTAAGAGATGGATATCTGTGGAAGGGGGCTATTATTTAGCCTATCACTTGTGCCATTTTATATCCTATTTCGTCATGACAGATTGCTTGCCTTCAGATATAATAGAGTGGTTTGTCTTTAGGGATAAAAAATAAGGATAGTATTAAAGTGTTAGCCATTTTTAACTATTTATGTAGAGTAGTCATATTTACATATATAAGAGGGGACTGTGTTGACAGAAAACTTGTTTTATTACTACAGTTGACCTGCCTTGAGAAAAATACTTAAAATGATTGTAATTCTCTGCAATCTCAGAGGTGGGGCGAGAAAATGGGGAAAAGGCCTGCTGGCAGCTATGAACTTGTGGATCCCCTGGCCAGGAAACTCTGGAAGCCATTTGGGAATCCTATTGTGCAAGAAGCAGAAATTTCTCTTCCTTGGTCTCCTTTTAGGCCCTCCTAAGTGATGCTCTAGGCTGTGTTGGCTTCTGTGGTGTCTTTCTCTGTGCGGCCTCCACATCCTGTCCTGTACATTTTTCTGTCCAGCTGTGGGGCACTCTCCTGGGTGCTAGCAACAGTCTCTGATTGATGGGACCCTGAGTCCTCACCTGTGTGACTCTTTTCCTGCATACCTTGAAACCCATTGTTTAAATCTAGTCGGTAAGAAACTCAAGTTAAAATGTGATTTTAATTTTTGATTTTCATTTTACATATTTTGAATTAAGTGCTTTGCCTACCACGGCTTTCTTTAACCAACCTGGATCTGTGCTTGAGATAAGTGGGTCAACAATATGGTTGGTCTGTTATGCAAGTGATAACTTGTTCTGTCCACCACTGCAGCTTCCCATGCTGTATTCGTTCTGAGTGTTTGGGTCTTTGTTGCATATACTCCTGCCAACTCCCCTGAAGCAAAATTTGCTGTTTCAGTGCATTGAACTGAATATTCAATAATAAAACTTTAATTTATACTTTGTTTTTTAAACAGTCTAAAATTATGAATTCAATATTTAGTCCTACACAGAGCGATACTTATTGAAAATTACTCAACATTGTACATTTTACTTACAGATTTTATTAGAACTTACTAATTCTGTGTCTATCCATGGTGGCTTACAAGGTCAGCCCTCATTGGATGAAATAATTCAGCAATGTTGGCTGTTATCTTTTTTGCCAGTTGAAGGGTTTTACTGGCTCTCTTCTGAGGCCACAGACTATAATATTTCTAATCCTGAATGGAGTCTCAAATACTTATCACTGCAACAGGAGTAGATGAGGATGGATGGGTAGTGGCTGCAAACCTATGATACTACACTCTATCCAAGATGATAATACTGGTAGTTAGTAGTTAATACTTACTTCAGCCTTACTCTGTGTCAAGCATTATTATAAAGACTTTCCATGTCTTAATTTAATTTTCTCAGTAACCCTCTGAGTTTGGGCGCTGTTATTCTTGCAGTGTTATACGTGAGAAAGTTGTAGCAGAGCCATCATCTCAATAGCATCGTTATATTATGTATGTGGCTCAATCAGGGCTTCCAGAAGCCATTCCCTAAAGTTTAACCTGAGTATAAAACTCATAGGTAGATTATTCAGAGCCGAAGGATTTAAATTTTTTTTTTAACAAATCTAAAAATCAGTATACAGTTTACAGAAAAATACAGCATGAAGTTTAAATGATCTAATTTATGAACTTACTGGTTTGTAGGCTACAAGTATTAATGCTTTCTCAAACTTCAGTGTGCAGGTGAATCCCTGATGGAGCTTGTTAAAATGCAGATTCTAATTCAGTGGGTCTGGGGGGGTGCCTGGGATTCTGCATTTCTAACAGTCTCCCAGGTGAAGCTCATGCTGCTGGTCCACGAGCCACACTTTGAATCAAAGTAATGATGGTTAAAATTATTTAACTTGTCAGGGTCTCAGCTGCATCGTCGTTCAATCAGATGGTAAAAGGAGATGGTCTGACTAGGTGGTGAAACTCACTTCCTTCTCTGTTGCACTCTCATTTTGAGTATAACTATTATAATAAGCAGGTCTGTAATTTGATACCTTTGGCACTCAATCTTGAAACTATTTTCTTTCTTTTTGCCCTAAATTTTTTTTCCATGGATTTCCAACAGTTGTAAAACTATTACACTTGTTTTTTGGATTAACCGCTGAAACTCCTTCCTTCCTTTCTCCCTTGTATTTTTCAAGGTGAGGGAGCTATGTGAATAACTCATTTAGTTTAAATGCACATTTTTAAAAATTATACTTAAGTCAGAGATTTGCTTGTGCATGTTAATTTGTGATGGGAAAGTGTTAGTATTTACTTCAGAAAAAAGGAAGCTAAAGACGAGGAAAGAAGAGAAAGGGCAAAGAATTTGGAAGCATCAGCAGGAGGGACAGTTACTATCAAAGAGTCTTGTATCAATTAGGTCATCTCTGAGGTCAGTCATGCCTAGAGTCCCAGGGAAAACTCTGGGTCAGAGTTCATCCTTGCTATTTCTATGGTAGCAAACATCAGCCATGAGTGCTGCATGATATGAGGCCTGGGAGTTTCTTAAGGCCAGGATTGGCTCTTTCATGCCTTATAGCAATCACAGTTCAATACACTATTCACCTGTACATTAATTTGTTGAGGACCTTATAATACTTGGCATTTGTTGAATGCTGTGTGTAAGCCATTGAGCTAAATGCTTTGCCTATGTTAGAGCTTTTATGCATCACAGTGGATGAGGCGAGTACTATAAATCCATATTATAGATTCTGAAACTGAGGCTTAGCGTCAGCAAGTAGTTCAACCATAACTGTGGTAGTAAGTAACGGAGCCAGGATTTTAACCAAAGCTGACTCCAGAGAGCTCCTAATATTGAACTAGTAAGCTGTTACTGTTGCCTATACCAAGCTGCTGTGCTAGATGCTAGAGTAAGGTGAACTTGGTCCCTGACTTAAAGTTATTTCTAATCTAGAGTATGAGGCAGGTTTGTCAAGAGACACTTATTAAATAATATGTAATATGGTTTGGCTCTGTGTCCCCACCCAAGTCTCATCTTGAATTGTACTCCCATAATTCCCACGTGTTGTGGGAGGGACCAGATGGCAGATAATTTGAATCACGGGGGCGGTTTCCTCCATACTGTTCTCGTGATAGTGAGTAAGTCTCACGACATCTGATGGGCTTATCAGGGGTTTCTGCTTTTACGTCTTCCTCATTTTCTCTTGTCACCACCACATAAGAAGTGCCTTTCACCTCTCGTTATGATTCTGAGGTCTCCCCAGCCACACGGAACTGTAAGTCCAACTACAACTCTTTTTCTTCCCAGTATCAGGTATGTCTTCATCAGCAGCATGAAAACGGACTAATACAGTGTGTAACACTGGTGCAACTATACATAGGTGAATGTCGAATTTCACTGATACTGACCGATGAATGTGGTGGTCAAAATTTTCTTCTTCGTTTCTTTAATTCTTTTTTGCTAGTTAATTCTCTAAGTCCTTCCATGTCTCTCCAGAATTGTATTAGGCCTTGAGCCTCTGATTACTTGCTAATCTCCTTGGCTTGGAATAGCTTCTAGATCTGGTTTTGCTGTCATTATCATAAATGTTGTCTAATAGAGACTTAATGTGGGATTTTGCAGTGTTTCCTCATTCTATTCCCAAATAAATCCAGCTGTGAGAATCGCATCGGCTTCATTGTGTTGCAGTGAAATTCATGGATCTCAAACTTTTTCAGTATTTCCATGTGTATTTTTCTCATTTTACTTCCCCCGAAAGTATATTAAGTATTTTCTTTTGCTGGAGAAGAGATGTTTATCTCAGAAAAAAACTAATAGGAAGGGATACAGGAAGAAATGTGAAAGATGACCAATCATAGAACCTTTTATATGTATTCAGTAAGCATTGTTGACTTAAAAATAAGGAGAGGTGCAGTGACCGAGACTATAGACAAGTTTGTATTGGAATAATTATAGTGCTTATATCTAAAGCATTTATAACAGAGCCTGTCACATTGTAAGCACTTAATCCATGTTAAATGTTATTTACATTTTTACCACCACTACTATTACTCTGTTGTCACCACCACTCCCACAACTTCAGATGGTCACTTATGAAATGGATGATAGCGGGTACTGGAAAAACTATTGCATCCTACAGTCTATCTTCTGCTGACTAATGCTTGAAATCTCCCCTTAGAGCTCGCTTCCTTTAGCTTAATACTTTAATCCTAGTTAAACCTAACATGTTCCTTTTGCATAGAACTGGCTGTGCCTACCTTTCATAGGATAACTGGATGGGATTAGTGGGGAGTGTGTAGCTATGGAACAGTTTTTTCTGTTTGAAATTGAGTATAGAAATCAGGGTCATCGTGGCGCATTCAACGAACTTAACTATATTGGTCAAAAGGAAACATGCGCTGTTCTGAGAGCGGCAGCCACAGTCCTCCTGATTCTCAGTCCCTTGTACCGTCAGTTTCCATCTTCAGCTTGCTTTGCCAACACTGATACTGTATAACTTTAGCCTTATGATGTTAGGACATTTAATTGCCCTGTAGTCTATGGAGTCCTATGGATTGTGGCCCTCTGCTTGTGTTCAAACCTGCTCCATCAGAGGTCTATGGGCTGATTTTTTTGTGAAAAAGGAGATCTTTTGGTATGTTTTACATATTTGGATTATTGTAACTCCATATTTCTTTCTTGTTTATTAAGTTACTAAGAAAGAAAGAAAGAAAGAAAGAGAAAAAATGAACGATCTAGGTCCTCAGCATTTTCTTACAGTTTTCTTGTAGTGTAGATTGGAAGAATGTTAAACATATCCAATATCCTTGTTGCATTTTCTTGGCTGTGAAGCTTAAGGAAATAAATATATAAGAACTTTCTATTTATAGATAGCATATTAAACCTTAAATCTTGCCAACAGTCTATAAAATTTGACAAATTAGGTGTAATATATTTTAGGAATCATCTATCTGACTGAAGAAGTTTTGGCACTCTGTGGAATCAGAGGGATACTTTTATACTGCACAGAATCACCTAAACTGTACATTTAATAGTTGGTGGATTATAGAGTTAAAAAGTTACAGTTGTAGAAAGAGATCATCAGAATAGGGACCAGAAGGAACCGGTTTGAAGGAACTGACGTAGAAAGAAAGGTCGTATCAATTAAGTGTTGATGGACAAGTTAATGTCTTTTTTTTCCTGAGTGTGAATATGGGAAGTAATTGTTACAGGGTGGCAGGAGGGATGACTTTGGCTTCAACCAAGAGAAGACCCAGCTAAGAATGGCTTAAATAACAACAACAGCAGCAAACCCGCAGTGATGCCAGGGCTCTAAAACACTGAACATTTTAATCTCAGATTTGTCCTCTCAAGATTGAAGGATGGTGACGGGACCACAAGCATTACCTCTTACGACAACGTCTAGAGACAGAAAATGGAGCACATTTGCTTCCTTTTCATAAGAGTGAGGGAGAGTTTTTCTGGGAGACCTCAGCAGACTTCCCTCACATCTCATTTTCAAGGTAGTCAGAGTGGTCTGTGAAGTTAGCCTGTTATTTTCTGATATTTGTACTGAGCTCGTGTCAATAAAGCTTATGCTTTTGCATTATTTCACAACGAACAATGCCACATGTGTACAATCATGGCCTATCGAGAAAGATATCTCTTGTTACTGTAGATATTTTTATGAACAGATGGTCACTTATGAAATGGATGATAGGGGGTACTGGAAAAACTGTTGCAGCCTACAATCTATCTTCTGCTGACTAATGCTTGAAATCTCCCCTTAGAGCTCGCCTCCTTTAGTTTAATGCTTTAATCCTAGTTAAACATAACATGTTCCTTTTGCATAGAACTGGCTGTGCCTACCTTTCATAGGATAACTGGATAGGATTGGTGGGAAGTGTGTAGCTATGGAACACTTTTTTCGGTTTGAAATTGAGTATAGAAATCAGGGTCATTATGGTGCATTCAACTGACTTAACTATATTGGTCAAAAGGAAAAGGGCTGAAATACTAACTTTACACAACCTAGGAGTTAGATCTTCAGAGTTACCAAGGAACTCTCAAATGTTGATCAGAACTAATTCAAATGGAAAAGTCAAGGTTCATATTAACGTTCTAGGGACCAAATGAAGTCAAAGTAATTTACTGAGTAAGAATAATTAGTTAAGAAAGGTAAATGTAGTTTTTCTGTGTCGTTAACTTCCCTCATCCTGTACAAAAGAACAAACGCATTTCTTCACTACTTCAATCAGAGGCTCATTCTGCTCCTTTACTCAGAGGGTAAGAGGAGCACATGGGCACACCTGAGATGTGAGGAATTGAGGGCTGCCTGTATTTAGACAGAGAAACAAGTTACTTTGTAGGTAGAGTGTCACATGGCTTTTCAAACTTCATGCGTTTATACTGGCATTTTCTATGTGTAATCTTGCAACCTTGAAGATGAAGAATGTGGTTAAAGGAAGCAGTACTTCATATAGTGGATAGTTTAATTATTCTTTCTATCATTTGGCCAAATAATGAATTACATGTTTTCTTTCAATATTAGAGAAGAATTTATTTTATTTAATTATTTATTTGTTTATTTTTTTGAGACGGAGTCTCTCTCTGTCCCCCAGGCTCGAGTGCAGTGGCATGATCTCGGCTCACTGCAAACTCTGCCTCGCGGGTTCATGCCATTCTCCTGCCTCAGCCTCCTGAGTAGCTGGGACTACAGGCACCCGCCACCACACCCAGCTTATTTTTTTATTTTTTATTTTTTGTATTTTTAGTAGAGATGGGGTTTCACCATGTTAGCCAGGATGGTCTCGATCTCCTGACCTCGTGATCCACCCGCCTTGGCCTCAGAATTTATTTTTTAACGCTCACTGTAAGATTTATTAATTACAAGTTATAATTCACTGTCCTTTATGGTGAATTATAAATGGACGACCCTTGTAAGAGTCCATATGGCAGAGTTTGAACTCTTGGGTAACTGTGATTTGAGAAGCGATTTTGCATCTATTTTGATTTATTTTTAAAATGATGATATGTTCTAAACGTATATTTCTGGATTTAACTTGCTGATAAAAATGTAGAACTGTGTGCCTACCAGCCAGCTATTTACCTCTGTCAAATCCTAGGATTTTACTACAGATTTTTTTAAAGAGTAAAAGTGGTTAGGCGCAGGGGCCTCACTCCTGTAATCCCAGCACTTTGGGAGGCTGAAGCGGGAAGATCGCTTGAGCCCAAGCATTTGAGACCAGCCTGGGCAACATAGAGAGACCCCGTCTTTACAGAGCAAATAAAAATAAATTAGCTGGACATGGTGGTGCACCTGTGGTACCAGCTGCTTGGTTGGCCAGGCAGGAATATTGCTTGAGCCGGGGAGGTCGAGGCTGCAGTGAGCTGTGATCATGCCACTGCATTCCAGCCTGGGCAACAGAGTGAGACCCTATCTCAAAGCAAACAAACAAAAAAACAGTAAAAACATTAGAAATGCAGTTGAAACACCTACGTCTCCCTGATTTCATTCTGCTTCCCAGTCTCCCCAGAGGTCACCACTAGCTACAGTTTGATATTTACCTTTCTCATGTTCTTATCCATTTGTATGTGTCCAAAAAACATTCTGTAGGATTGCTTCAAAATTTATGTTATATGGTAAAAGTCACTAAAATATAGAAATCCAGAGAAGTTTTTTGGAAATTTGTTGAGCAAATTCTAAAATGTATATGGAAATGTAGAGGGCCAAGAATAGCTAAATAACAATGTTGAAGGATTTGCTTAATCTTATGTCATCTTTTTGAAAAGTGATAGTAATTGTGAGAATGTGGAACTGATGCAAGGATCAACACAAAGGCCCATGGAATGCAATGAGGAGCTTGGAAACACACCTGCGCACTATGCTAGATTTATGGCAGCACTAGCACTATGGAACAGAGGCAGGAGGACAAGGCTTCTGTGTAAATGGAGCAGGGATAATTGGGTGTCCACATGGAAAAAAAATGAAACTTGACCCCATATTTATAATTGTTCAAAAATGAATTCCAGGGGGTTTGTAGATCTAAATGTGAAAAGCAATTTATTAGCTTACCGCCTTTGAAAAAGCCATTTTACCATGAGTGATTCTTTCATTCTTTTTGGAGTAAATTGAATTGAGGAGATCGAACTAAATGAACTATGGTGATATAAAATTAAAACGTAATTAAATGTCTGCTCTTCAAAGTTTTGAAATGAGTGTTTACTTAAAGTGCTTCTTGTAAGTTTTTTGTAAAGCATTTTATCAAATTAGGGGTGTTTCCTTCTACTTTGAGTTTGCTTCAAGTTGTTGCTACAAATGAATGCTAAAATTTATTAAATCTGTCTATATATTTCGAGATGATCTTATGATTTCTGGCTTTATTCTGTTAATCTTGTGACATTTAGTGATTGTTTTTTGAATGTTAAACCAATATTTTATTCCTGAAATATATATAATTTGACTGCAAAATATTACCATTTTATATACTTGTAGATTTTGTTTGTTAATATTTCTTTAGGATTTCTGACTTTGTGTTCAGGGGTGAACTAGGCCTTTAATTTCCTGTGTTTGTTACGATCTTCTCAGGTTTTGATGTTAAGATTATGATATCCTCATAAAACTAGTTTAGAAGTATTTCCATTTTCTAGCCTCTGGAATAATATTTTGAAGATTTATGTTATTTCTTTCTTAAGTGTTTGATCCAATTTACTAGTGAAGTCACTTGGGGCTGGAGTTTCTTTTGTGGAAAGTTTTTAAATTACAATTAAATTTTTAAATAGTTATTAGGCTATTCACATTTTCTGTTTTACTTTGTATCAGTTTTGATTAATTGTGGTTTTTTCTAGGGAATTGTCTGTTTTTAAATTTTCATATGTATTGGCACAGCTGGGCGCTGTGGCTCACGCCTGTAATCCCAACACTCTGGGGGACAGAGGCAGGCAGATCACTTGAGGCCAGGAGTTTGAGACCAGCCTGGCCAACATGGTGAAACCCTGTCTCTACTAAAAATACAAAAAAAATAGCTGGGTGCACTGGCTCATGCCTGTAATCCCAGCTACTTGGGAGGCTGAGGCACAAAAGTTGCTTGAACCCAGGTGGTAGAAGTTGCAGTGAGCCGAGATCATGCCACTGCACGCCAGCCTGGGCAACAGAACAAGCCTCCGTCTCAAAAACAAAAACAAACAAACAAAAAAAGTATTGGCATAAAGCTGTTGGTAATATTCTCTTAATATATTGATTTAAAGAAACACTATTTTAAATTAGTCAACAGTTAAGCATAATTATTAATATTTTATCAAATTTTACACACACTGTTTTTTTTGGCATATCAAACCTCTTAGAGTTTGCTTTTCTTCTTAATGAAGTATATTGTTTGAGTATTTGTTTCTGTGAGGGGTTATGAGTGGTACATTCTTTTGGTCTTTGTATGTCTGAGAATGTCTTCATGTTACTCCCATTCTTGAATGGCAGTTTAACAAGGCATAACATTCTGGAAAGGTAGTCATTCTCCCTTAGCTCTTTGAAGATGCTATTTCTGCCTTCTGGAAAAGTCTAATATTAATCAAAGTGTTGTTTCTTTGTAGATAATAATGCCTTTTATTTTGAGTGATGTTTCAGAATTTCTGTTTAAATTTGACATTCCCTAATTTTAATATGATGCATTTTGGTTTGGATTTGTTTTGGTTTATCCTGCTTAGTATTTGGAGGGTATTTTTGTTCCGGGATTCATATCTTTACTCAACTCTAGAAAAGTCTGAGTTATTACTCTCCTTGAATAGTGGCTCTCCTAGATTCTCTCTATTACCTTCTCTAGGTTTCCTGTTGTATATTGGAGCTTCTTAGTTATCAGTTATCTTAACTATTTTTTGGTATTTCTTATTTCTTTGTCTTGTATTGGTGAATTTGTCAGTACTTTCTACCAGTTTAATAATTTCCTCTCTAATTTTTTAACTTAATAATGTTTACTTTTTATTTCTAAAATGAGCTTCTTTTCTTCTCCATTTTCTTGTTTAATTTCTGTCTGATTTTGTTTCCTAATTTCTTGCTTTTAAAAATGGTTGTTACTTTGTTTAGTAATTTGAATATCTTCAGTATACTTGTTTTAAAGCCTTTAGCTATTCTGTATTATTTTTTATCTAAAATGAGTTCATATTCTTGTTGTTGATTTAATTGGTTGTGTTTCTTCATATTATAATTTTTCGATGTTTCAAAGTCTGACTTTGCAAGCTTATTTTGAATACATGCTCATTTCCCCCCATTTTTGATTATCACCACTTGTCCATCTTGTCTACCAACTTTTTACGGCATCCTCTTGTCCCTAGGGTGCCCAGTTAAGAAGTGGTCTTTTAACGGCGTTATAGAGTGCTTGCCTTCTGATTATATTGTCACCAGGTTAGTGGGGGTTTTGGCTCAATACCTGATCAAGAGTATTGAGTATCTCTTCTTTCTGTGGCTTCCTATAAAGCAGTAGGTGATTCAAAGCATGAACTCATAGCAGCATCATGACAGGATGTTGAAATGAGGCCCCAAGGAAATAATCTCCTTAACATTCAGGTTTTCGGATGAGTGTTCATCAGAAAGCAAGTTATATGGCATGTGTCTGTGTTTGTTACATCTGCCTTTTCCCTGCCCTGACATTTATTGGCACAGCCCATTCCCACAGATGTATATTTTATGTAAGTCAGTCAAATGGATATTCTTAAAATGACAACCTTGACTCCACTGTAATTTATACACACACACACACACACACACACACACACACAGTGTTTTTCATTGTGTTAAATCTTTGTAATATAAAATTAACTATTTAACCATTTCTTTTCTTTTCTTTTTTCTTTTTCTTTTTTTTTTTTTTTTAAGATGGAGTTTCGCTCATCGCCCAGGCCGGAGTGCAATGGCGCGATCTAGGCTCAGTGCAACCTCTATCTCCCAGATTGAAGCGATTCTCCTGCCTAAGCCTCCCGAGTAGCTGGGATTACAGGCACCTGCCACCACGCCCAGCTAATTTTTGTTTTTTTGTTTTTCTTTTTTGTTTTTGTGGTTTTAAGGAGCAGAAAGTTTAATAGGCAAGAAGGAAGGGAGAGGAAAGAAGGAAGAAGCTCCCCCGTACAGAGACAGAGGGAGGGGGGCTCCAAAGCCAAAAGAGGAGGTCCCCACCTGCCACGTATACCAGCCAGGTATATATGCAGAGGCTGGAGGAGGCAGTGTTTGATTTGCATAGGGCTCAGAGGATTGGCTTGACTAGGCATGTCATTCACGTAGCCCATGAAAATGCTGGCCCTCCCACCCTAGACTTTCAATATGCAAATGCAGGGCACAATAATGTTATATACACGTGGGAATATGTGGGGGCAGCCACATTGCCAGGAACATGTGGGGAAAGGACAAGAAGGCTGAGGGAATCTCCATGTTTGGGTAGACACAGTTTCTAATGGACGTTATTTGCATATCAAAGGTTACTGGCCTGGCTCTAAGAGCCAGGGCTTTACAAGAAACTTTTCCAGAGATGCTTTAAAAAATGAAAACTTCCCAAGGACCCCTTTTCCTACATCATTCCCCCTGTGGAGATGCCACACTAACTGCTGTTAGGGGGTTTTGGGGGATGACTCCTTCTGGCTACTTCCTGCTGAAAAGGGGTTTCGAATGGGGAACAGTAGCTAGGGCTCCTCCTGGGGTCGATCTAAGGATCCTTGGAAGAATGGCATGTCCATGTGTGTGTGGTTCAGCTTACAGCACCATTTGGAGTTTGATTGCTTCTTGGTGAGAAGAAACAATTTGAGTTATAGTATGGAGTATACAGGGTCCAAATACCAATACAAGATATATAAGCAAGAAAGTGCTTAATAAAGGGGTTAACCAATTCCATAAAGAAGACTGGAATTTATTAAAGAGAGATTGTAGCCCCTCAGGGCTGAGGCCGGCATTTTCCCTGAGCCTGTCAACAATTTTGACTTGATTTTTAAGTACCTGTAGATTTTCTTCTACTTTACTAGAGGTGTTAATCCAAAAGCAGCATGTTTCATTTAAAACTGCATTACTAAACCCAATAAAAAGTCCTAGCAGACTCAGTGATAGTAAAACTTTCATGCTTCCTTTTTGTCAACTATTATCCCTGCTGTAAGGGTAATAATTAAGCAAAATACTACAGCAATGGAAACTCTCTGTCCAATATTTCAGTTAGAAGGTGCTACCCTGTATAACCCTGTTGCAAATAGTAGAGTGAGGACAGCAATTCCCACAAGTGTGGTGTGGGTAGGTAATTTCCATCTAAAATTTTACTTGCTAAGATATAGAATTCTCCTTTGGGGGTCTATGAAGTTCCTTGGTTTTATTTTCCCAAACAAAGAAACCTCCGGGTTATGGGCACCTTACTCACTTTCATTACCCGGCAGAATTTGCAAGATAATTGCCCAGAACTAGCGTATTGATTCACATTTTTATGTTACCCATCCCTTTTTTTTGTTTGTTTCCAAGCTGCGGAAGATCACCACTTGATTCACAGGATCAAGCAGAGTTAGTCTAAAATGTAGGCAAAAAGCTTAAAAACAATGAATGAGACTAGGATTTAATGACAAATGTAAGATAAACTTTGGAGCAAAATCTTTTTCTCCAGTCCTCATTTTTGGTAAAAACTAGTTATGAATAAACTTTAGACTTAAACTTGACCTGATTATTTGCATAAAGTGCAGCAAGAATGGTTATTTTTACATAGACCTTTTGGATTGACTTTGATGAAACTGTTCCACAAGGAATTTCACATAAGACTTCTAAAGCCAAGCCCAGCCATGGGTTTGTGTCCTCTAATACCTGTGTGTTTGGTGAGCCTATCCTCTCGAGGTCCCAAGATAAACTTGGAGCTTCCAGACCTGTTAGAAAGTGTCATTCTTTACTGACCACAGGTTAGGAATCCTGTGCGGGGACTGTGCAGACAAGGCATGAGGCCAGTTCTTCCTAAGGGGCTTTTTTTAATTGGCTTTGCCTGTCACGCTTGATTCCTTAAAGGGAAACACACACTTTCAGTCAAAGCCTTGGTAAAATAACCAGTTTTTCCAGTTGTGTCCTGTTGATGAAGAAAAATGGATTCTTACTGCACTGATGCAAACAACTATATTGCCATAAGTTAAGAGTACTCACAGATAGTTTCCAAATTCTAGAGGAACCAGGCAGAGAAAAATAAACATGCTCCAAATTTTGTTTACAGGAGTATACCTTACTCAATTATTAAAGGCCATAAATAGTTTAAAATAACTTTCCTTGATGCTGAAAATCAAAACAAGGATCAGCAGTATTCCAAGCAAAAGTTAAAAAGGTTACTTTCACTTTCTGAGTGTAGTCCATTTAGTTAACTTTTGTTTTGCTTGAGATTTGTCAACATGTCAGTTTTTTATGAGCTCTGTACTTTCTTTATTTCAATATTACAATCTTTAAAGCTATTAAAAACCTGCATTTGAGAACACCTGTTAAAGTCCTTAATATAGCTTGATGATAAACTGTCTTTTGAGAAGGAACAAAGCAAGACAACAATTGTTTGTGAATGACAAATTTCCAGGACAGTTATAGTTAAAAATATGACTGACAAGTTTATTTATCTTCATGGTTTACAGTAACTTTACCATTAATTATGATTGATAGCATATACTTAGACATTAGCATTTTAGAAATCCCATACAATTTTGGAACATATATTAGTATTATTCACCAAAATATAACTTAAAGAAGATTGGACATCATTTCGGCAATCTCATGTGACTAAACATCTCAAATGATCCTGTTTACCTCTTTTCTGAATGTTTCAGGGGCCTTCTGAACTATCCAAAAAGCCAGGCATCATGAAGGACAATTTCCAGATTGCCGTAAATTATTTTGCCAAAATGATGACTCAAAAGGAAAAAACCTTTCATTAGCCTTTACTGTGACATGAAAATTTTGTGCAAAGCCAAATTTTACCCTTGCATTAGTTTATTAATGTTAACCCCAATTCGTTTACATGAAACCGTGTGGATTATTCCATCTAATCCTAACCAATTTGACCATGAGGTGAAATCTTTACAAACCTTTCATAACCCTTTTACTAAAGGGCAGATTAGTGTCTTAAGAGCTCCTTGCTATGCTTTTATTTTAATGCTTAATTTATGAGAAGACCATCTGGATGCTATGGGAGAAGACAGCGTAGTGCTTGTACCATGCATGTCATTACAAGGCAGCCCAAAGCCAATTGGCTTATTTTGTAATCAGCTCATGCCTGATGGGAGTCTCATCTCTCAGTCGGGAGTGGGGATGTTTCCTTATCTTCCAGGTGGTCAAGAGCATGCTTCTCTGATTTATAACTACTATCAGCCATCCCTTACAGTGTATTTTCTACCTAGTTATTACACACCAAAACTCTCACAATGCGAAGTAATTTCTGATACCCCCAAAACTCAAAACCATCAGATAACACAAGCAAAACAGAACAGAGCCGTTGATTTTGAGAGGGATTTAGCTCCTTTTAATTCCTGGGGTTTCATGAGGAAAACAGAGGATTTTCCCCAAAACAGGGTTTGTGATGCCTCCTCTGTTTTTCCCCAGAAGTCCCATACTACCAGAAGTTATTTTAGGGCCTTTTATGCATGCATTAAGAGTGGTAAGACACAAAATGGAGAAAAATAATTCAGTTAACTGAGAAGAAAAGAGCCTTTTTCCAGAAAAACAAGATTCAAGAAGAGAAAAACATGAAGGACTTTTAAATATACCTATAACTTGAGTATCTACTTTTAGTTAAGCTGGGCACTCTTTAAGAAAATCCTTTTAAATCCCTTGTTACTTGACTTTAGCCACACCAAGCATTTAAGATGTTCCGCTTTTGAACTTTACAAAAAGTCCCCTTACAGGTGAAACCAACAAGCCTTAATTAGGTTATGACTTAACCGTGAGTGTACAAGGTATTTTTAAAGGAGTGATAGGCAGCTTTTGAAACTGTCATTGCAAAACTGTCACTGAGACAGTGAAAGAGATTTGACCCAAACAACTTCATTTTGTTTCCAGCCCCAAAGCTGTCCTTGCCCATGTCTGGGCGTAGGCCGAACCAACTTTGGGAAGAGCTGGGTTTACAGTCTATAGTCTAAAACAGTCTATAGGTTTACAGTCTATACTCTATAGTGGCTACACCATTTAATATTCCCACCAACAGTGCACAAGTGTTCCAGTTTCTCCACATCCTCGCCAACGAGTTATTTTTGTTTATTTTAATAATGGCCATCCTAATGGTGTGAGGTGGTATCTCATTGGGATTTTGATTTGCATTTCTCTAATGACTAGTGATGTTGAGCATCTTTTCATGTAATTGTTGGCCATTTGAATATCATCTTTGGAGAAATGTCCTTTCGAGTACTTTGCGCATTTTTTAATTGAGTTCTTTGTTTTTTGTTATTTTTATATATTTTTAAAAGGAAATCATTTGCAAATGTGGCCATCGTATTGCTGCAAACAAATTGCTGCCAGTACAGATTACATTGTTAAGCATGATGGTTGAAAATATATATCACATTTAGACCATTACTGGCCACAAGGAACTGATATTATTTGATGTGGTTTTTGAGGTTCGTTCTTTGTCTTGCTGTTACTCTTCTAGATACATATCTATTTGTTGAGTATAGCCTGGTGTCATCACCCTAGGTCCTACATGTTAAGATTCCTAAGGTTCAGACAATAGATGGAGGATAAAGAGTTGATTCTAAGAGTCTTTTAAAATTCTGCCCATGTTTATGCATATATACGACATACAGTCAAATCCATCCCCAACATCATCTTTGAGTGTATGATGAGACAGAAGAGATCTGAAATTTAGAGGCCTTGGAATTATTTAGCTAGTCGCTAGCTATTTTCCCCTGGGTCACTCACCTGACTGTTCTGTCACTACATTTTCTCACTGGTAAAATAAGTTCAGATACTCTCAAAGGCCACTCCTTATTCTAGGATGCTATGAAAGTGAGTAGGATTTTCCTATCTCCTCTTCTGTGTACCTCAGATTGCATTGTTACTCCTGACATTCATCTTGACTTAATCTTGCCAGCTTAAAAAAGTTGTTGTGAAAAGAGATGAGTGTTTCTCTGTTGACTTGTGATTATGTGAACAGTGCAGAGTGCAAGCCCTCTCTCTGCTTCTGTCTGGTCTGTCTCTGTCCTTCCCCCTTTCTGTCTGTGTCTCTTGCTGTTTTTCTCTATGTGGCATTTTCTTTCACTCTGTCTCTTGTCACTCTTGTAATATGCGGTTCTGATTCACGTTCAACTGTCAACATAGCAAGGGGGAAATGGTCCCAGGCTGCATAAATCCACAATGGGAGTGATTTCTCTGCTCTTTATTAAGATTTTTGTTGATGTATGTGACATTCAACAGGATTTATCCCAAACACAAGAGCGTTATTAATTATTTATAAAACATTTCTGAGCATCTGCTCTTGTGCCAGGCACCGTGCTTGACCCTGGGGACACAGGAAGTATAGTTTCCTGCCTTCAGATAGCTCCCGCACTAGTGAGGGAGGGGCATTAATATGTATAGGTGCTTGATAAAGGTAGCTAGGCCTGAGGAGTCTGCACTGTGTGGCAGGCAATCAGTCCAGTAATGGGAAGGAGACAGAAGTGTGAGCAAAGTCCTGGAGGCGTGAGACAGCCATAGTCTGTGGTTCAGTGTAGGGTGTTTATAGCAGAGTGTGCTGAGTTAGTGTGGGGAATGTGGGCAGTGGCAAACTTAGCTCGCAAAGCTTAGGCTTTGAATGGTTTCTGTAAGGCAATTAGCAAGACATCCAATTTTGTGATCAGATTTCTATTTTAGACAGATCCCAGTGCGGATAAGATGAGGATAGATTGGGGCCATGAGGCTAGGAGCCCACTCGAGGCCCGGCACAGAAGAAATGATGTGATATCATGTAGGGTAGTAACAGAGAGACTAGAAGGTAGGGTTGGGCTCAGGAAATTTTAGGAGAAAACATTGAAAGATCTTGGATCCTTATGTGAGGCAGAGGCAGAGTGACCCTATGGCTTAACACCTAAATTGGGGTCTGGCTGCCTTTGAGACTTGCAGGGGCACTGTTAATAACTGTGTTGCATGTCTCGGTGCAAACTGGGATTGACCTGGGTAAAGTGGGTGTTTAATCACAGTAGGTAAACATGAGCCAGAAAGAAAATGGTTCCTAGGTTTCTGCCTTGGGAGCTGGGTAGATGAGAAACAGGAGAAAAAACAGGTCTGGAGAAGAAGATGATGAGTTCAATTTTGGCCAGGTGAGTACAGGAGTATAATTTTTTTTTTTTTTTTGAGACAGGTTCTCACTCTGTTGCCCAGGCTGGAGTGCAGTGGCACAGTCATGGCTCTCTGCATCCTTGACCAACTGGGCTCGGTCGATCCTCCCACCTCAGCCTCCTGAGTAGTTGGGACTATAAGCATATGCCCCCATGCCCGGCTAATTTTTGTATAGTTTTTGTGGAGATGGGGTTTCGCCACATTGTCCATGCTGAGCTCAACTGATCCACCCACCTCGGCTTCCCAGAGTGCTGGGATTACAGGCGTGAGCCACCGTATTTGAGCAGGAATATAAAAATGTGAATTTAAACAACTTCATTGTGGTGGTGGTAGTGGTCATTGTCTTTGTTTTGTTTGTTTTAATTGGCATAGTCAAGTCTTCAGCTGAGCAACTGGTCTTAGGTATGGCTGGCCCAAGTGACAACTCAGGCCAAGATAGAAGTGAGAAGTTGGAACAGGGTTGTTTACTGTGGAGGATGAGTCAGAGCTGAGCCCTTTAAGAGAGGATGGTCCAGGGGAGGTGAAGTCAGGGCATATTGTTATGGGGGAGAGGTAGTTGCTGAGCAAGCACTGGCATGGGTTGATGCTTGGGAATGGCTGTCAAGAGGACAGAGTGCAAAGGTCAACAGGTAAGATAAAGGAAAGCTTCCTCCAGAAAAGAGGACTGCATTAACAGGGGTTGGGGAGAGAGGTAGAAGACGGATGTCAGGGTCAGGCATACAGTGTTTCTTCCCTGCCTGCCCAACATGCTGGACTCTTTAAGGATCCTTCAATTCTTGAACCTTGCTTAAGGACAGGTTATGTAAATGCTAGTCATCAGCAAAAGCCAAACTCACATTGTTATTTCTTTTTAATCATAGCTGTATTAAGCTTTTGGAGGTCTGTTCTCCCAAATGTTTCTGTCTGTTAAGCAGAAAATATTTCTTCCTTGACCAAGGACTGAAAAGTGAAAGAAAAAAGATAGAATAAAATGTTCTATCTAGAAAGTGCTATCTAGATTTGAATAGTTGGAACATCTTCCTAAGGTGTTTATTTTGGTGGATATGTGAGGAAATGAGAAGAGACGATGATATTGAAAGTTGACTTGCATTATTTGTTTAAAGTTTTGACAATTTTGAGTATTATGGTGTGCACTTTGCATTCTGGTGCAGTGATAAAAACCACAACATCTTCTCTTTATTTCACTCTTCTGGGCTTAAATTTGCATCTTTAATATTGTATTACCATAATTTTTGCATATTGTAAGGTAATTCAGTTGCCCTCTTCCTGCATGGTTCAGATTTCCAGTTTTGTATGAGTTTCTTATTATTCTCACCCAGTTTCCCAATTAGCACCTTGTTAACTACACACCTGCTGCACAGAAAATTGTATTACGCCATTTAGCCTTTTTAAAGAAAAAAAGAGAGAATGGAAGACACTCTGTTAATAGGTTATTTCAACCTCAAAAAGTGATGCCTCTGGGCACAGAACCACAACATGATTGCTGACGGGGAGAACCTGATTGTTTAATAGATGCTAGAACTGGAACAAGAAAAGCTTTTGGCAGACCTCTGGAAACGGGGGTAATCTGCACTGTCACCACAGCTGTGCACGCATTTCCAGCTTCAAACCACAGAAGCCAAGCCTGATCCGTCAGGTTCTGCACATTTCTTTGTGGAAGAATCACTGAGCCACTTCCATTACTGTGCCACTCTGAAATAATTTCCATTTATCATCTCATCCTGGGATTAGCTTTATTTCCTAGTATAGAAGAAATAAATAGACTTACTGACTGTTTCGTTTTCAAATTTTTCGTGAAGACTTGGTAACTTTTCACTCAAACGGTTATTCATTTATTATACTTACTTCCACATCGTGCATCTATTAAAGGCAAATATGCAGCCGTTAGTATGTAAATGGAACTTGCATGCTGAACAAATGAGGTAGAACCTCAAACGTTATTTATTGACTAATTAGTGTTATTGTAATCAGAGGAGAGCCTATAGAAATGTGTAAAACTATGCACGATGGGCCTACACGAATATAAGCAGATGTCAATTTCATTTTGGTCTAGCTTAATTCATGCGTCTTCTGTGACATACGGGTGTAATACCTTCATTTCAAATTGATTTAGATGCTTACTTAACTATTAAATGATAATAGCTAATTTAGTGGAAAAGATTATTAAATCATATAAAAAAGAAAGCCTCACCAACGCACGTGGAGAATCCTACTTACTGAAGCATGGGAGGTTGAAAAGAAGGCACAACTAGGACCTTCATTAGGATTCTTCAAGTTGGCCTTTCCAGAGATGGCTTTCTGAATCACGAGCCCTCTGCTTCACGCTATCATCTGTCACCTCCTGATCATCCCTTCTGTGTCATCTAGTGGCTCTAGCACCCGGCTGGGGTTCTCCCCACCAGCCTAGAGGCAGTGCAAGTGCCCCAGTAACTCAGTCTTCTGTGAACTAGGAAAAAAGCATTTCCTCCTGACTTCACAGACCTTCACAGCCACACCTGGATCCCTAGCCACCTTTCTTTTATCAGAAATCCCCTCTCATCCCACGATCTTCTACTCTTCTCTCCCTTCCCCCCATTTCCACCAATCCCTCTCTTGGGCTCCCTCTTTACCCCCATCTGTTCCTTGCCAGTCTGCTGTTAGGCAAACCTCTAGCCTCACTTCTTGTGCCATCAAGCCCAGACCAAACCCACAGTCACCTGTGTACACTGTCCTGTCACCTGCAGCCTCAGCTCCCTCATCCTTTAATTTCTGCCAGCCTAGTTAGTCAGGCCCCTATCCTATATCAGCCCCCAAAGTTATCTTTTTCCTGTTTGGACATGTTGTTTTCATGTTGAACATGCCTGTAGTAGGTCATTCTTGCATTGCTATAAAGAAATACCTGAGACTGGGTAATTTTATAAAGAAAAGAGGTTTAATTGGCCCACAGTTCTGCTGGCTATTCAGGAAGCATGGTGCTGGCATCTGCTTGGCTTCTCAGGAGGCCTCAGGAAGCTTACAGCCATGGCGGAAGGTGAAGGGACAGCAGACACGTCCTATAGTGAAGGCAGGAGCAAGTGAGAGAGACAGTTGGGGGTGGGGAGGTGCCACACACTTTTAAATGACCAGATCTCACAAGAATTCACTCACTTTTACAAGACAGCACCAAGCCATGAAGGATCCACCCCCATGATCCAAACACCTCGCACCAGGACCCACCTCCAGCACTGGGGATGCAATTCAGCATGAGATTTGGGCGGGGACAAATATCTAAACTATATCAATGCCTAAAAAACAAATAGTAAGAAAGAGATCGATGACTGCCTCCCATACAAATGTACGATCTCCTCTTGGGAGTTCTAGGTTTGTGCCACAGCTTCCTTGCCCACCTCCCCACCCCAAGCCCGTAACAAGTAGCCTCATTTTATTCCAGGAAAAGAACTTAGACCATCTGACATGAAATCCCCCATCTTTTCTCTTCTCCACTTCTGATTTTTTTCAGGGTGCTTCTATCCATCCTAGATCTACTTAATCAAAATCTTTGGGGATGGAATCCAGAAATCTGCTTTTTTAAAATGCTCCCAGTGATTCTTCTGTGCCTTAAAGTTTGGGCACTTCTGACCAACGCTATAGTAATAACCAATGGACTGGTTCCACTAACTTGGTTCTTCCTATTTCTGGCCATCATCCACATATCATGGTACTGTCTCATGTTAATAGTTTAATGCTGTCTTGTTTCAATAGTTCCTCATTACTTAAGGAATAGATCTTGAGTTCCTTAGCACAATATCGAAAATATTTGTTCACTAAATGTTTCTTCCTATCCAGTCTGCCTCGCCCCCTGCTCCCTTATACCTGCTTTTTGGCAGTCACATAGGACTTCTATTTTCTGAAGTCAGTAGAAATTTATTTGTTGATTCACTGATTCAATAACTCTCTGTTGAGTCTCTGTTGTGATACAGACTCTGTGCTCAGCCATTGAGTTCATGACCAAGACATAGCCCCTTCCCTCACTGAGATTATAGCCATGACTCTGTTCAATTACTGCTCTTAGAAAACACCCTCCTCACTCCATTTCTCTCATTGAAAACAATAGGCAACTTTTATTGAGTGCTTACCATGGGCCAAGAAATGGGCCTAAGCCAGCCAGCCCTCTTTCCCTTGCTCCTTTCTTTTATTGACACACACACACACACGCGTGCGTGCATATAGACACGTGTGTGTATAATTTTATTTAATCCCAGCTGAATGGTGTAGGTATTATTGTTAACCCCATATTATGGTGAAAGCAATGGAAATTTAGAGTCTTAGAGCTAGTGCGGGTGAACTGGATCTGCAAACCTGGTCTTTCTGACTCCTGTGCTCCATTGCTTCTTTAGGCCGCATTCAGACATTCTATCCATCCTTCATCCCCCATTCCCTACACCCCTTTACCTTATTGTTTCCATTGCCCTTTGTTTATTCAACAAACCTCCGACAACGTTTAAGTGCCTTCTTTATGTTGGGCTTAATTAGAACACTTTCCAGGCATGGGAGTTCTCTCTCTGCTTCTGGGCATGGGAGATCCTTAAGTATAGTGGACCACAGTGCATTCCTTGTACATTCAGGGCCCAGCACTGGTATTCTATCACAAGCACAGTGTCTGGGTCCTATCAGTATTCAGTAACATTTAGTGAACAATCTCAGGGAAGTAGAACATTTTCAGTTAAAGTGTATTTTCTATGGTCTGTGACCTAATGTATTTGCTCACCAAAATAATGGTGAAAATTGGAAAAATGTTTAGCCTGCCATACATTAAAGGCTGGCAAACTTTTTCCAAGGAACACTTCAACGGCAGCATTTGTATTTAAGTAGTGAATATGCTAATTGCATGTGCTTCTCAACTACTTCTTTATTAAAATCACTAGGAGAGTCTTTTTGTTTTGTTTTGTTTTGAGACAGAGTCTCACTCTGTCATCCAGGCTGGACTACAGTGGTGCGATCTCGGCTCACTGCAGCTCCCGGGTTCAGCTGATTCTCCTACCTCAGCCTCCCAAGTAGCTGGGACTACAGATGTGTGCCACCACACCCAGCTAATTTTTTGTATTTTTAGTAGAGATGGGGTTTCACCGTGTTAGCCAGGATGGTCTCGATCTCCTGACCTCGTGATCTACCCGCCTCGGCCTCCCAAAGTGCTGGGATTACAGGCGTTAGGAGAGTCTTTTGAGAAAAATAGGTCTACTGTATGGAGCGGTCATATTTATAATAGTAGAAGGTTGAAAACACCCTATGCCTCCCTCAGGAAGAGAGTGGTTAAATGCATTATGCAGAATGTGTAAAAGAAATACTTTGTGGCAATGAAAAAAATACCCTTTACTCAGATTTTGTGTATCTGTGTGTGTACAGTAGATTCTCATTATTTGCAGTAAATATGTTCTATAAACTTGCCCCCAACACTGAATACTGAGCTTTAGTTCCTAGAGGAAATGCAGGATTAGGTTCCTTGGAGCTTCTGATCACCTTTTCATCAAATCATTTAATGAATAACTTTGTTTTATGTGTGTTTCTGTTTAGTGGTACCTTATTTAAATTACAGTTGTTCCTCAGTGTACTCAGAGAATTGGTTCCAAGACCTCTTGCAGATAACGAAACCTGTACATACTCAAGTCCGGTAGTTGGCCCTGTGGAACCTGCATATACAAAATGTCAGCTTCTGTATTCTAGGATCCAGGGAATACTATATATTCCGTTTACGTTTGATTGAAAAAAAAAATCCACATATAAGTGGACCAGTGAAGTTCAAACCCAAGTTGTTCAAGGGTGAGCTGTGTGTTGTTGGTTCATTAACATTGAACTCTTGACCAATCGCACTATAACTCAAACATGAGTATTTTCTCCGTAAGACACATCACAGCCTTCTTGGGCTAAGGACACCAGAGAGTACTTCAGCACTATGCTTGGAAGTCATTTTAAACAGTGAAACCACCACCATAAAGCACAAAATTCCAAACAATGTGGCACTTAATCGAAATAAAACAAGAATGCAGACCATAGACCATCACCTTGTTCAACATCAGCTGGGAACATGTGTGTTCTGTTTCTCAAAATTTTCACTCCTCCATGGAGCATGGCAAATAATGATTTGGAGGTTACAAATAAATGTTCACAAGTAGATGAATTAGTGCACGCAGAATCTGGGCATCATGAGGATCACCTGTGTATCTGTACCTCCCTCTTCCACCCAATATTTGAGAGCAAATGGGAGACACATACCCTCTTCTCCTAAATGCATCATGTGTTTTCTAAGATCAAGAACTTTTTCTTACATAATCACAGTAAAGTTAATATATGTCAGGAAATTTCATGTTGATTCAATATCTAATCCAAAGCCCATATTCAAATTTTGTCAGCTCTCCCCATAGTGTCCTTAATTGCTATTTTCTTCCTGGTCCAGGATTCAATACAATTTTATACATGTATTTTGTTGTCATAGCTCTTTGGTCTCCTTGAATCTGAAATAGTTTCTCAGCCCTTCTTTGTGTTAGTTAATCGTGACATTTTTGAAGATTACAGGTCAACATAGTAGAATGGGCTTTCATCTGAATTGGCAGAACCTTCCTCATGACATAAAATTCTATTTTGTTCTGTTTTATACAATTTTTTGGCTTCATCTTGTGCATTTTCAGTGGAATACCACAGAAGTGCTGTTTTGTCCTTTTCAATGCATTGTGTCAGGAGGGGCATGATGTCAGTTTGCCCCCATATTGGTGGTGAGAGCTCTGACCTTTAGGTTAAGGTGATGCACACCGTGTTTCTCTACCACAAACTTACCCTTTTCCCCTTTACACATTATAATTAAGTTATTTATGGAGTGGTACTTTAAAACGATTGAGTCTCATCACATTCTATTCACTGGTTTTAGCATCCATTAATGTTTTCTGTAAGGTATTTATAATTCTGATGGTTAATACTGATTGTCAACTTCATTGGATTGAAGGATGCAAAGTATGGATCCTGGGTGTGTCTGTGAGGGTGTTGCCAAAGGAGATTAACATTTGAGTCAGTGGGCTAGGAAAGGCAGATCCACCCTTAATCTGGGAAGGCACCAACTAATCAGCTGCCAGCATGGCTATAATATAAAGCAGGCAGAAAAAAATGTAAAAAGGCTAGACTGGCCTAGCCTCCCAGCCTACATCTATCTCCCATGCTGGATGCTTCCTGCTCTCAAACATCAGACTCCAAGTTCTACAGTTTTGGCACTCGTACTGGCTTTCGTGCTCCTCAGCTTGCACATGGCCTATTTTGGGACCTTGTGATCATGTGAGTTAATATTAATAAACTCCCCTTCATTCATATATATATCATATATAGAGTATATATCTATGATATATACTCTATATATGATATATTATATATATAAAGTATATATCATATATTAACATATATATATATCCTATTAGTTCTGTCCCTCTAGAGAACCCTAATACAGTAATTGACATTCTTTTATAAGGAAGAGCTTTTCCTCTCCCAACTTTATGTATTCATTCAGTAATTTGTATTAATATCAAAAGGACTTTTGAAGATAGTAAATACCTAAATAAATAGAATTTTATTCAATGAGTAGCAATTCCTTACTATCATTTTTTTTTAATTTTGAACCTCTTATCTTCCCAGATTTGGCCACTGGGAGCCCTTTCCAGCTGCCTCCTATGTCCTTTTGATGTCTCCATGATTCTTAGACAGTCTCTGTATTTCCTGAGGGTGTTGGAAATGCTCTGTATCTTGATGGGGCTAGGTTCTAAGGGTATACACCTATATAAAAACCCATGGAAATGTGCGTTATGATTTAGACATTTCATGTATATAAATTTTACCAGAAAGAGACTGTAAAAAAACAATGAATCCTAGCCAGGAGGGTACTTTTAAAATAATGGTGTGGGTGAGCAATTCTGAAGTTACCTTCTATTAATTCTAGCTTGAGCAGAAGAGTAAATATATTGAAAATAATGGGAGTCAGATTTCTCACTGCTTGAGAAGGTAATTATAGATATAATTACAGATATGGAAAACAGAGAAGCAATAATAAACCCTGATTATTAGATTAGAATCCAAGGTATTGATATAAACTCATGGTTTTTTACACTGAAAATAGAGAGAGAGTGAGTGTGTGTGTGTGTGTGTCCCTTCCTAGCTCTGCCAGCTTTGAGGGCCTGGACACAATACAACAATAGCACTGAGCTACCCTAGTACTTACATCTTGGTTTCTAAATACCACACTCCATTAAAAGGAAGCAGGGCTCATTATAGAAAAGACTGAACTCGTGGCCAGGGCAGGGAAAATAGAAGATTAGCCTGGAATATCTTGTTGAACTTGATGTACTTTTAAGATTTTTTTAATTTCTCTCTTCACAGTCCTTTCTGGAGGATTTAATTACATTCATTTTCTTCTTTAAACTGCTTACTAAAACTATAGAGAGCAAGACTGTGGAATCTCTGATAAACATAGATCCGGAAAGTGGGATATACCAATATCTAGCAGTAGCTTTGGAGTAAACAATAATTGGATTGCCATTGTATCTTTTATTTATTTATTTATTTATTTATTCATTTTTATTTATTTTTTGAGAGATGGAGTCTCACTCTGTCGCCCAGGCTGGAGTACAGTGGTGCGATCTCAGCACACTGCAAGCTCTGCCTCCCGGGTTCACGCCATTCTCCTGCCTTAGCCTCCCAAGTAGCTGGGACTACAGGCACTTGCCACCATGCCTGGCTAATTTTTTGTATTTTTAGTAGAGAATGGGTTTCACCGTGTTAGCCAGGATAGTCTCAATCTTCTGACCTCGTGATCCGCCCATCTCGGCCTCCTAAAGTGCTGGGATTACAGGTGCCATTGTATCTTTTATTGTGTTCTCTTGCAAATATTAATCTTAATGTTACCTGAAATGTGATAATATTTCCATTTCATTTTGATAAGAATGAATAATGGTTAAGCCCTCTTGTGTCTGCCCCAGTACCTTCTTCAGCACCTGTTTGGTGCTGGTGTCCAAGAGAAGTTCTCAGCCAGGGTCCCCAGCCACTGCTCCCTAACCCACCCATAGCAGCTTAGACTGTGGCCCCTTCTCACTGGGCAGGGAGGGAACTCTGGGCTGCGCTGAGGTTATGCTCAACCAAATTCCTCTTCACAGTACCCAGCTTGTGTCTCGTTCCATGTGTGAATGGCTGTGAAAAAGCCTGGATTCATGGGGTGGGGGCTGGAAGGTGGAATTAGTACCTTTTCAATTTTTTTTAACGTTATTTTCAAATAAAAAGATAATAAGAAAAAAGAAAACAGTGGGCCAGGCACGGTGGCTCACCCCAGTAATCCCAGCACTTTGGGAGGCCGAGTTGGGCAGATCATGAGGTCAGGAGATCGACACCATCCTGGCTAACACAGTGAAACCCCATCTCCACTAAAAATACAAAAAATTAGCCAGGCGTGGTGGTGGGCGCCTATAGTCCCAGCTACTTGGGAGGCTGAGGCGGGAGAATGGTGTGAACCCAGGAGGCAGAGCTTGCAGTGAGCCCAGATCGTGCCACTGCACTCCAGCCTGGAAGACAGAGCGGCACTCCGTCTCAAAAAAAAAAAAAAAAAAAAAAAAACAAAAAAAAAAGAAAACAGTGGCAAGACGTGAGCTCTAGAGCCAGACTGCCTGAATTCACATCCCAACTCTACTGCCTTATGACATTTCTCTGGCCTGTTTTCTCATTTGTAAAATGGGAATAATATTAATGCTTACGTGGAGGATAAGGTTTTGTGGGGATTAGTGAGTTTCAATACACATAAAATTCTTAGCACAGTACATGACATATAGAAAACATTGCCCTAACTATTATAGCTATAAACGTCCATGTTAGTTTATTAAATAAATGCTTTACATGTATTTAAGTGAGTATATTAAGGCTTGTGTATAAACTTCTTCTTGCCCTGCTGGAAGTTGCTATATGTACTTAAAGGTGTAAATAAATGTTTCAGAACACATTTTTCACTGCTGTTACATTTTACCAATGACTTTGCCCATCTTATTATGAAGTTTTTTGTTTTTTTTAGATGGAGTATTGCTCTGTCTCCCAGGCTGGAGTGCAGCGGTGCAATCTCGGCTCACTACAACCTCCGCCTCCTGGGTTCAAGCGATTCTCCTGCCTCAGCCTCCCGAGTAGCAGGGATTACAGGCTGGGATTACAGGCGCCCACCACCACACCCAGCTAATTTTTGTATTTTTAGTAGAGATGGGATTTCACCATGTTGGCCAGGCTGGTCTCGAACTCTTGACCTCAGGTGATCCACCTGCCTCAGCCTCCCAAAGTGCTGGGATTATAGGCGTGAGCCACCATGCCCAGACTATTATGAGGTTTTAATGCCTGTTCTCTGGGTTTAGCAGAAGGAACAAGTTATTTTTCCCCCAAACCAATATCTTTCTTTGTCCATTAGAACATGCTTTATACGGCATGTGGAGGGATGTGTGTGCCTCACAGTCCCTGACCAGCACTTCGTATCTTGTTGAGTTATTAATGATTTCTCTATGGTTATTTCTTTTCTGAAAATAAGTAATCACCATGGCAATGCTGTCACTTACTAATGATGCAAATAAGACTTTACGCATCTCTGCAAATCTACTTAAAAATAAAATAGCTTTAAAAAAATATTGCCCTCACATTTGGATCAGTTACTCATTCTATCCTGTTTTTTGTTTGTTTTTGTTGTTGTTGTTGTTTTCTGCCTTTAGTTTTGTCTGCTTTTGCTTTGTCAGAACATAGGGCCTATAGAAAGAAAGGGTAGGCCGGGCGCAGTGGCTCATGCCTGTAATCCCAACACTTTAGGAGGCCTAGGCAGGCGGATCATGAGGTCAAGAGTTCAAGAGCAGCCTGATCAACGTGGTGAAACTCCATCTCCACTAAAAATACAAAAATTAGCCGGGCGTGGTGGTGCGCACCTGTAATCCCAGCTACTCAGGAGGCTCAAGCAGGAGAATGGCGTGAACCCGAGAGATGGAGGTTACAGTGACCCGAGAGCATGCCACTGCTCTCCAGCCTGGGTGACAGAGGAAGACTCCGTCTCAAAAAAAAAAAAAAAAAGAGAAGGAGGGAGGGAGGAAGGAAGGAAGGAAGGAAAGCAAGAAAGGGTAGAGTTTAAGACGGTTTGATTCTCTAGATTGTGTTACTCTCATTTTTCATTTGAAGAAATGGAGGCGCTCTGAGGCATATTTATTATACTGTAGTCTGGTCAACCAGAAAAACAACCACACAGAAACAAGGTGCCCCTGTCCTAACAGCTGCACCCACCTAAAGCCCAGATACCCACATGGCCAGCAGCAGCAGCCCCCGTGTGTCTCTGCAGCCACATTTGCCTCAGTTTCTCTCTGTAAAGTGGGTATAATGCCTCCCTCGCTCATATCACAAGGGTAACTGAGAACTTGCCTGAGAGATGACTTTGTGTGCAGGGATAGTGCTAGGCAGTGCTAGGAGGATGTGATTGATCGTCATGCTCTGGACGCCGCCATTCCTGAGATGAAAGTTGGGAAACCATTCTCAGGGAAAGGCAGCACCCTTCCCAGTCCAGGCAGCCCTCTTCACGTCCACATTGGATACTGGTTCCTATCCTCTGTTACCATTTGTGGATATAAATATCTATCTGTCAATATGCACAATTAGTGGAAGACATAGGTTGCCAAAAACCACATTTGTTTAGTATGAACGATAAACAGAACCTTTGGGAAAGTTGTCTATTCATTGGTTCTGGAAAGTTTTCCCTCTGTGTGCATGAAATTAAGAATTTGGAATTCACAGCAGCATGACAGAGCTTACAGGAAGCTGACGAGGCCCATGGTTGTTGTTTTGAAGGCTTGCAGCCTTAAAGGTGTGCAAAATTACAGAGGACAAGAAGCCATTTTCACAACTGGATTTGCAGCATCAATTATTCACCATCTGTTTACTGAGAGCCTGGTATGTGCCCAGCACCGGTGATGGCTCCTGCCTTAGCACCGAGTGCAGCTGAGGAGAGAAAAACAACACCCAAGAAACAGTTTCAGAACATTTACTGCTCTCTTGACTAGGAATACAAAAGGAAGTTAAAAACAAAACCCACGCACACACATAGAGAAATGAGGGTCGGCCATCGTGGGCAGGAAGGGGATTTCAGAAAGCCTTTAAATGAGTTATATTTTGCTTTTACATAAAAAAACAAAGTCTGTCATATGTCTAGCCGGCTAGTGCTGCTGCTGAAGAAGCTGAACATCGTCCCAGAGGGCAGCAGAACTCTCCGCATCGCACACAGGCAGTTTCCAGCCAGGTGTGTGCCAGTTGCTGGGTATATGCTTGTTTGCTCTGAGCCCTGGCATCCCCCTCCAGCTGACAGCTGCTTTGTTGAAACTGCTGTTAATGCTGAAGAGGGAGCAAAAAGAAAGAAGGGCATCGTGAGGTGTCCTGCCTCTGCACGTTGGGACATGGAGTGGTTCTTTCTGAGGAGCCAGGCCCTTAATTCCTGATGTGCTTTTCTAAATGGTCACGGTAACATACTTCCGGTTAATTCCTGATGCGCTTTTCTAAATGGTCACGGTAACATACTTCCGGTTAATTCCTGATGCGCTTTTCTAAATGGTCACAGTAACATACTTCCGGTTAATTCCTGATGCACTTTTCTAAATGGTCACAGTAACATACTTACGGTTAATTCCTGATGCGCTTCTATAAATGGTCACAGTAACATACTTCCGGTTAATTCCTGATGTGCTTTTATAAATGGTCACAGTAAGATACTTCCGGTTAATTCCTGATGCGCTTTTCTAAGTGGTCACAGTAACATACTTCCGGTTAATTCCTGATGCGCTTCTATAAATGGTCACAGTAACATACTTCCGGTTAATTCCTGATGCGCTTCTATAAATGGTCACAGTAACATACTTCCGGTTAATTCCTGATGTGCTTTTATAAATGGTCACAGTAAGATACTTCCGGTTAATTCCTGATGCGCTTTTCTAAGTGGTCACAGTAACATACTTCCGGTTAATTCCTGATGCGCTTCTATAAATGGTCACAGTAACATACTTCCGGTTAATTCCTGATGCGCTTCTATAAATGGTCACAGTAACATACTTCCGGTTTAGCAACATAACTGGATGCTAACATAATGACTACAAATAATGACTTACCTATGTTAAGTACTTATGGACCCACGGTGGCTATGCTGAATACTTTGCATGTATTTCCTAGAATCTTTACAATAACACCATAAAGAAAGTACGAAGAGTGTCCCATTTTGCAGATGAGGGAACTGACATTTAGAGAATTTAGACATCTGTCCTACGGTACACAACTATCAGGTGGCCCATACGAAATTGCTTTTTTAGGTATCAAAAGCCAGTCACTTATTAAAAATTTCATGTAGTTCATGCTGACAATTTCTGGCAGAGCCATTGCTACCAGATAACTCTAAGTTTGTGTGTATATACTGATGTAAAACTCTCCATGGCTCCATGGCTGGGCTTTTAGTCAGATTTCACCAAATTAAAAAGATGAACTTCTACAAAGTTAAAAAATTTTTGTTTGCACTTTCAGCAAAATAGCTCTTTATGTTAAACTCTGAGACATGGAATACTGAAGTTTATGATATCATTGTGGTTGCAACAGTGTTCAACTTGCAGGTTCCATGATGGTTGATTTTTGACTGCTTGAGTGTGTTTCCCTGCAGGCCTGCAGGGTGAGCTGTGAAGCTCACATAGAGACATTTGAGTTGTATTAAAATGGGTTAGCCAAGGCCTAATGGGCTGTAAAAAATAATGTGCTGTGGTGGTGTGTCTGATGATTTCCAGCCCTCATTCTTTCATCATTAGACCAGTGACACCCTCTAAACAAACATCTTACCAGTCAATGGATAAGTGGTCCCTGTGTCCAATACATAATTCTCATGCTTAAAATTAAAAAGTTATTGTAAAAACAAAATGGTCACTATGCCTAATATATCACTGTTCTTCCTTAGCAATTAGAACCTCTAAAATGAGTGAAATTAGAATAAAGAAGAACATTTCTATCTTGTTTGCATGAGCAGATAGGTCTTGGACCTCTGGAAGTTCAGCTCAGTCCACCAGTGTTTATTGAGCACCTGCAGCCAGGTGAGAGGCATTCTGCAGAATTTGTGGAAGAATCATACATGCTTAAGTGTTCTCTGCTGTGCCTCAGTCTCCCTATTTATAAAATGAATAAAGACGGCTCTGCTTCCAAGAGATTTCATTTGTATGGCAGCTTAAAATCTTCCAGAGAAACATGGCTGCCATTTACATTACTAATAAATAAAATTGTTCCCTAACAGAAACCAGCTCACTCAACCTGCCTATATTTACAATTAGAGTCGTTTGTTTGTTTAACAGATCCTTAAGCCTTACTTCCAGGTACTGTTCTAAGCATTTTATGTATTTTTTAAAAACCTATTACATAGATATTGTTACTATTCCCATTTTACAGATGAGGAAACTGAGACCTAGAAAGGTTAGATAACAGGCCTAAGGCCACAGGACTCTGAAAGTAAGTGAGGAAGCCAGGTTAAACCCAGGCAGTCTGGTTCATATCGTTCCTGAATGTGATAACCCTGCAGTCTGTTCCATCCCGGGCACAGGCAACTGGCTATTCTCACTGGGGAAGTCTGTTTTGCAAGGGTCCTTCTTTGTGTGCCTGAATGTGATGCATTTTGCACTTACTTCCTGAGAAAACTATTGCTGTTTCTTAAAGGTTCAATGGCTTTTTTATCCAATTTGTGATGGAATTCAAAAACAGAAGGAAGGATTTTTCCAGGAGGTATCTCTGTTTCTGTAATGGAATAGCCATTAGTTCCAGTTTCTCCCCTTAGCTAGCTCCCCCCGACATTCTCTCTCTCTTTCTCTCTCTGACACACACACACACACACACACACACACACACACTCCTTGAGTGTTCGGATGAGGACCCTGCGGGCCCTGAGTTCCTGCCCGACAGCATAAGAAGTTGGCGTAGAGTCAGCCCCTTCCCACTGCCTGTCAGAATTCTACACTCTTCCTTTTAGTTTTAGAAACCCATTCATCAAATGTGTATGATTAAAAACAGCAGAATTGCTAGATTCCCTTAAAGAATTGGGTAATTTTTGCAACATCATCATTTCTCCCCCACCCCAGCACCCCACCATCAGAACAAACAAGCAGACCTTTTAGCTTGACTTTTCAGCACTCAGCCATATTTGCAAGTAATGATTACTCTGGTTAGGAATTTCATATATTTTAAATGTGGTTTCAAAGGTCTTTTTAAAATTAATTCCTCCTCCCAGCCTTCCTCTTTCTTTTTCTCTCCCCTCTTCCCTCTCTCCTTCCCGTGTGTGCCTGTGCATGTGTGTATGTTTATATATTTAAAATGTATTATTTGAAGACAGGCCATGTTAGATTTTGTCAGTGGCACATTTCCTTGATGGCTGTTTTATCAGCATGTTTTTTTTTAACCTTCCATAGATATGCATCTGCCCCCAAATAGCGTTTAATGAAGAGGTCTTCGAAATAAATCTCTGAAAACAAAAGCTACTTTATTCATCATCTGCATGGAGAGCAGCCATGGAAACTCATCTGTGAAATGCATAATTAGAAACCAGAGGCCTATGTTTGTGCATTTGCCAGAGAGTGGGGAGATATCGATGGTGTTAATAAAATCCTGATTTTCAGTTCCTTCTTCTCTGATCAGAATAAGAATTAGATTACACAGAAACTAAATTACAAGAGGCAGCATAGAGAAGAAAAATGCATTATTTTTCTTATTGTAATATCCTTCTTCCCATATTCTTTTTCATATCAAAACATGGTGCTAAAGCTCTTTAAGATTCATATATATAAGCTATATATGAAAAGCAAGCAGAATTATGTGGGGAAAACAAATATTTACTTTTCTGTAGGCTAAAAATCTTCATATTTCTATTTTGCTGGTTTTTATTTTAAAATATTTAATTGACAAAAATTTATATATTCAAGGTATGCAATGTGATGATGCGATGTCTGCATACCTTGTGTAATGATTACTACAATCAAATTAATTAACATATCCATCACCACTCAGTTATCATTTTTTTTGTGTGTGTAAGTGTATGTATAGTAAGGACAACTGACGTCTGCTCTCATCAAATTTCAAGTAAACAATACAATATTATTAACTATAGTAACCATACTGTGTATTAGATGCCCAGAATTTATTAATCTTATAACTAGAAGTATGTGCCCTTTGACCAACACCTCCCCATTCCCCCACCCCCATCCCCTGGCAACCACCTTTCTACTCTTTGCTTCAGTTAGTTCAACTTTTTAAAGATTTCTCATGTAAGTGAGATCATGTACTATTCGTCTTTATATGTCTGGCCTATTTCACTGAGCGTAATGTCTTCCAAGTTCATCTATGTTGTTACAAATGGCAGGATTTCCTTCCTTTTGTGGCTGAATAATAGTCTAATATATATAATATCCCATTATATATAATATTCAAATATAATCCATTATATATGGAATACACACACATATATACTTATATTTACATATAAACACTTATATACACATATATATGTCAATTTCTTTATTCATTTATCAATGATACTTAGGCTGTTTCCACATATTAGCTAGTATAACTAATGCTGCAATGAACATGGGGTACAGATCTCTCTTCTAAATACTGATTTCATTTTCTTTGAATATATGCCTAGAAATGAGATTGCTAGATCATATGGTAGTTCTGTTTTCAATTTATGGATTTATGGAGGAAGCAGCGTACTATTTTCCATAATGATTTTTTTTCAGGTAGTTTATTATTAGTATATAGAAACACAACTGATATTTGTTGATTTTTGTATCCTGCAACTATACTGAATTTGTCTATTAGTTCTAACAGATTTTTGGTGACTCTTTAGAGTTTTCTATATGTGAGCTCATATTATCTTCAAACAGACAATTTATCTTCCTGCCATATTTGGATACCTTTGACTTCTTTTTCCTGCTTAATTGCTCTGGCTAGCACCTCTAGTATTATGTTGAATAGAAGTGGCAAGAGTAGGCATCTGTATCTTTTCCTTAATCTTAGAGGAAAAGCTTTCAGCTTTTCAACTTTGAGTGTGATGTTTACTGTGGGCTTGTCATATATGGTTTTTATTGTGTCTAATTTATTGATTGTATTTATCATGAAAGGGTTGCATGTTGTCAAATCCTTTTTCTACCTCTTTTGAGATGATTGCATGATTTTTATCTGCATTCTGTTAATGTGGTGAATCACATTTATTGATTTGTGTATGTTCAACCATCCTTGTATCCCAGGGAGAAATTCCACTTGATCATGGTGTATGGTCTTTTTAATGTGCAACTGAATTTAATGTACTAGTATTTTGCTGAGGATTTTTGCATCCATGTTCATTAGAAATATTTGTCTGTACTTTTCTTTCTTTCTTTCTTTCTTTTGTAGTACCCTTGCCTAATTTAGGAATGAGATAATGCTTGTCTCATAAAATGAGTTTGGAAGTGCTCCTTCCTCTTTAAATTTTTGGGATAGTTTGAGAAGGGTTGTTGTTAATTCTTCCTTAAATTTTTGGTAGCTATGTTTCTGTTTTAAAGACTGTTGACACTTAGGATTGGCTTTTTGGTGTACTAAAGTCCTTGTAATCCTGATATGCTAAACCACATTACTTAGAAGACTGATTATAATATATTCTCTATAACCTACCAAGGTTGAGGAATGGGATTATCAAAATGTGTGGCTAATGGAAGCTATATGACTTAATAATATGAATAATCTCCCGATAAGTAAGAGAACTAAATGCTTTTATTATAAAAACTGTAGCAGTATTTAGTCAGTACATTAATATCTGGCAACCCTTAAAGATGTACTGTCACTTACTGGGTTGCTCTTTGACCTTTGTCAATTCATTTAACCTTTTTGGGCCTAATTTTCTTCATCTATAAAATGGAAACAAAATCATTTCTCCTTCATAAAGGTGGTATTAAGGAATATGTAAAACAGTAAATGTCAAAATATCCTATACATATGTGAGATTATTTTTTATTATCTTGCTATGTTTGAAGTGTTAGAGTCACCGTTCATAGAATTTCAGATTAATAGAATCATAACAACAGGATTTATTTTAATTGAGATTTTAGGTTAGTGAGGAAAAGGTGGGATCATAAGCTAATAGACATCTATACATGAAATACTGTTTTCAAAAATGTAAGGTTTGCAAATAATTGATTTGGCTTAGAAAATCCACGTTGCTCAACCCATAATTACAAGTTTTCATTCATCTTGCTTTAGAAGCCATCTTTCCACCACAGCATATTTCATGCTGTGTTTCTGGCAAAGTTTTCATGACTCAATTTGGAGACATAGATTTTCTTACTTGAAGATTCACACAGCCCATTAGTATTTTAAAGATTCTGAGAATCTTATGAAAGAAACCTGAAACGAATATTTCCCTAACTTACTTGACATGAAAAATCCTTTTAAAGAGAGCATCTGTTAACATTCTTTGGGTCAAATATCCCATACTACCTTAAGTTCATGAGCTCCGGGGGTGGACTGCCCTTGTTCAGATCTCCATTGTGTGACCTTGGGATCATAACTCTCTAAACCTCAACACTCTCATCTGTAAAAGGGGGACAATGATATTTATCTCATAAGGTTGTTAAATAAGGTAATATATCTTTTAATACGTGTTGTTTAATGGGATAGTGTATGTAAATTATGAAACAACATATTTTAAGATAGGTAAAACCCTGACTGTGGTGGGAATGGGAGGTGGGAGAAGGCTGGAATCACTCATGGGCTAGTGGTCCTTTCTGGCCTTTAACTCCCCAGTGAAGGTGACAGCTAGGCCTCTTCATAATCGAGTTTCCCCTTACTGTAAAACATGGGTCCTTGTTCTACCCCAAGGCAGCCATATTCCCTCCTCTTCTTAGTATCTGAACTTAGGGTCACCTATTCAAATGTGCACATGGGCCAAGCAGGGGATGCAAACATGTTAAGGGGCCCAGGGTGAAGGGCGGGGGAAGTGGTGTGGGCGTGGGCAGCAGGGCATTGCCAGCCTCTTCTCCTCGGGACCACGCTGTGGCCTCCTGGAAGCCCAAGGCCAATCTGCCTTGACTTTTATTTTTTAAAAAGATAAGTTAGAAATCTGGAAGGTGTTAACATTCCTGATTTTTCTGTAGACAAATTGTTCAGATTAAAACACAAAGCAGCACACTGTTTGGCCCATGAGCTGTTGGTTTTGCAGTGTCTGCATATAAAAGCAAAGTCCTAGGGACCTCTGCTAATGGGCTTCTGGTGGCTGCCCTCTCCCTCCCCTGCCAGCTTGCTCACCTTTTCGCTTTTCTTTGACCTCTGCCCTTTTCCCTTGCTAAGAAGAAAGAAAACCCATGTCTTCTGTTCAACCAATGGGTTCCACTGGTTCTGCCTACTGGGCCTCTGTTTCCATCATAGGACTCTTTCTCCAAGTGCTTCCTAACCAGTAATCACCGTTTATTTGATTGTCCACCAGGCTCCAGACTTGCTAGGTTCTTTCGCGTGCAGTTCTTTGTGGGGATCCAACTGCCTCATCTGTGATCCCCGGGCAACCTGGCATTACAGCCTTCAGTTCTGTTTTTCATCCTAAGGCCACGCCTGCCTGTCTTTCTACACCTTTGTCTATATTCACATCATCGCCATAGGCAATCAGCTCTTTGGGGCCATTTTCGAGGAATTAATACTGTATGAGAGGGAGCCATTCCTAATAGTCTTTCTTGACAGTTTTAGGTTAGTCTTTACTATGTTGCTAATTCAGACTTAAAGAGACAACTGGCCCTCCATGTCCCAGCTCCACGGTGATGGGTGTGTTTCTCAGCTTCTCAAGGAACTGCATCTCTGATACCTTTATAATCCCAAGGCCTGTCACACAGCCTGGTCCATAGGGAGGAGGTGGTAAAAAGCCAAGAGCTAGAGCCAGCTCCCCCCGTCCTAGGTCCCCCAACCCCAGTTCGGCTGCTTCCTAACTTAACCCTGGGCAAATTTCTTAGCCTCACTGTGCCTCAGTCTCCTCAGCTGTGATGAGGGGTTGGTGTGAGGATTAACAGAAAGCCCCAAGACAGCACTTGGCAGGTAGCTAGAGCTGCATAAATATTGATCCTTAGTGGTAAAATTAGTATTCATGTGGCAGGATTGCAGTACATGCTTATCAGAGGACAGAGCTCAGAAAACTAGTTTGTCTTTGGCAGTAATCTTCTCTTGAACAATGTAAGAATCATCTTTTATTTTGAAGACAGCAAGAACCCTGCAGCTTCGCTTTGGCAGTACCATGTTTTTCAGAGCCTGCTCGATTTGTACACTGAGTGCGGCTACCTCTGCAGATGTGCTGTAATGCAGCAGGCTCACTGCAGTGATTCCTTAAGTGTTAGACGAAGCACATTGCAACCTGCCATATCTGGGAACACCAGTGGTATCCTGCTAAGAGTCTGGTTGCTGAGATTGGACAGAGATAAGCAGCAAAATGCTTTATGAAAATAAGTGCTGAATATATAACCTTTTGGTAAATCATTTCCAAGTAGATATTTTATTTTTCTCTATTTTATGGATAAGTATGTGTCAACTAGCTGTTTGTGCATAGATACAGAGCACATTAAAAAATTGAATATTCCATACATATAAATGAGCTGCTATATCCTAGTGATTAGAAGCATAAACTTGGATGCCAAGCAGAGAGCGTTTCCATCCGCAGCCCCACCCTGCATAGCTATGAGACTGCACAGTCACTTAACTGCAAGTTACGGTTTCTCCATCTATAAATTGGGAAACCAATATAGTACTTCACTCCTAAGGTGGTTTTTGAAGATTAAATATCAAAATGTATGTAAGGTTCTCAGTTCAGTACCTGACATACTCTAAGTGCTCAGTAATGTTAGATAATGTATTTAAAGTTGGTGGTGCTACTGGACTGGATCTCAGTGCAGGCAAATGTGATAGTGAAGAATGATGCATAGATGACCAGTGGCCTTTTATAGAGCGAGATAAACACATTGCATGAGGCTGGTAGCAGTGTTTCCCCATGCACCGTATGTGTCCAAGTTCTCTGTGGAGCTTTCAGAGGAGACTGATGCCCAGCACTATTCCTGGAGATGTAGATTCACTTGCATAGAGTCTCAGGCACCCAGCCAGCCCGGTTGAGAGCCCTTCAGCTCTGGCACAGTGCTCCACAGTTACTGAGGTCATAGCTACCAGCTGTACCTTGGTGTCGTCTAGCACAGAGGTGTTCGTTGTTTGATGAGGGACAGGCTGGGAATGTGAGCATTCATTCAGATCCATCCCCATCTCTGAGAAAAATATTCCCAGCATAGCATCTGTTGATGTGGATTTGAGTAGGAAATGGGCCTCATGCACTATTCACATTCATCTTTTACCCCTCAATCCCATATGTGCAGTCCTCATCCCAGTAGACTTTATATTAGTCAGTGGAAGTACAGCTTTGTACATTGTACTGAAGCTGGCCAGCACTTTAATTTTTTGAGGGAAGAGATATTTTGCTCCATTTTTGCATTTGGCCTATCATGTCTTATGTTATAAACATTTTTAGGCCTTTCCCTTTCTCTAAATTTCAAACTCCTCTTGAAGAATACCTACATCTTATTTTAAATTTCCTAACAGCTCATTGCTTTGCACATTGTAAGCTTAGAGTGAAATTCCTGGAAAATGAATTAACCATGAGAAATTACTAAGCAGTCATGGAGATGAGCTGTGAAAATGTATTCTGGTGATATGGTGTAAATTATGCATATCAATCACATATAAAAAACACACAGATCAAAGAAAATAAGTATAAGTGCAACATTACACTTTCACAATCAACCCAGACTTCTGTTTATTGGACCTTTGGGGATGGATGAGGGAATCTTTTGGTGTTAATGCCATTGAATCTTAGATAAGAAAACCCTACCATTTCATCTTTTTTGACAAAGTTATAAATTAATTTCCTGGAACTTAGAGAAAAGAATACCATACTTAAATGAAGTTTAGGTGTCTGAAAGTCACACTAAGGCCAAGTAACAGCAGGAACAAGGGAAAACACTAGAACCGAGTGGTCCAAGACAAGGTGGTCAGCTTTCTGTATTTGAGAGTTGATTGAATATGAGAAGAAATCTTACGTCCCCTCCGCAACTTACATCAGCTTCTCTGAGCACAGCTGTGACCACTCTGTTGGATTCTGTGGGGAAGATCACAGAAACACAAGACGTGACTTCTGCTCTCACGAGGTTTGCCTCTGGCCTGAACGCCTCCTCGAGATATGGGCGATCCAGGTGCCTGCTGGCATGTCCACTCGGATGACCTGTTGTGTTTCACATTCGACATAAAACTCATTCATCTATACCATGGCATGTGGAGCTTGAAGGAACCTCAGCTTTATCTCCCAGGGTTTGCTGATGGAAATGCTGACCCATTTCTTCTCGCCCCGAGGATCCTTTCCCTTCCCACTCCTGCCATTATACAATCATCAACTCACATAGCCCCTCACTCTGTGATCCTCCCAACAGATCATGATTGCGCTTTGGATTCCCATAGTACTGTGTTTGTACTTCATTCCTTAAATTAGTGTAACCAATGTTTAAATTAAATATTTAAATTAATTTAACCCATACTTACTTCCCCATCACTTTGTAAATTTCTTGTGGAAAAAGAGTATCTTACTAATCTTGTGTGCCTTTCATGTTTCTTCGCACATAGCTTTCTATACATATTTGTTGAATTAATGAGTCAAGAGAAAAGGAAGACTGTCTAAGATGGGTCGATTGATGCCAAAGTGTTTGCAGACAATACATTTTGTAGATGCTCATATTTTTATATGGCTGCTCTAGCCTTTTAAAATATGCCATATTTGGCTGAGCGCGGTGGCTCACGCCTGTAATCCCAGCACTTTGGGAGGCCAAGGTGGGAAGACTGCTTGAGCTCAGGAGTTTGAGACCAGCCTGGGCAACATGGGAAAACTCCATCTCTACAAAAAAATACAAAAATTAGCCACACATAGTGGTATATGCTTTTAGTCCCAGCTACTTGGGAGGCTGAGGTCAGGGAATCACTTGAGCCCAGGAGGTTGAGGCTACAGTGAGCCGTGATCACGCCACTATACTCCAGCCTGTGTGACAGAGCGAGACCTTGTCTCCAAAAAAAAAAAACAGAAAAGAAAAACAAAACAACAACAACAAAAAACAAACCTGCCATATTTACTTTGACTGGTTCAAATCTTTAAGAGACACAGCCTCTACTATCACTTGTAATATTTTAAATCCCTTGAAAACAGTGGTGTGATCTTACAGTAGAAAATTCACCAACCTGCCAACCCTGAAATAGACTGAGCCTCTACCCCAGACTCTTTCTTTGTTTATTGGATTTATCTAGTGCCTTTGCTTTAGAGCTGAGAGGACATATGCTAGGCACCTGGAGAGATCCCGTATTTCAAAACAACCGATAGCCAGTAAGAATGGGGAAGGCAGCAGACGCCGTCTCTGATGTTGATATACCCTGCTTTGTCTCCCCTCGCTTTCCCTTAGCAAAGAAATGTTTCATATTCGCAGCACAGTCAGTACTCCTTGCCTGCCACGAGGCCCAGAGCGAGAAAAGCCCAGAAAGGAGGACCTAGCAGGTACCCAGGCCTCTTGAAGTCACAGCTGGTGGCATGAGGGACCAACCATCCATCACACTGGGCCACACAGCGCCTGGTCACAACCTGCTTGCAGCCCAGCCTCTTAAGGCGATCGGCGCTTCTTCTCTCTCTGCCTCATCTCACAAATCTTCCCTCTGGCCCTCACCCTCCTCCCATCTCTGCTTTCTGCCTTATCTCCTTGTCACAGTACTAGAAAGGGTGAGCCGACCAAAGCCGTCCTGAGCAATGCCGTGCTTCTGGTTCATTAGCAGCACACAGAACAAGTGAGGAGGGGTGGACAGAACAGACAGGATCCTGCCGACCGTGAGTGAGTAACAGGCGTATCCATGCAAGGTTTTCCAGCTCACGCAAAGCCGTGTCTCTTGGAAGGTTACCCCTATGGCTCCTCCATGAAGGAACTGCACCTCCCGCCCCCACCGGCCTCTGCTGGTGCCTTTCCAAACACAGAGGTGCACGGCCGTACCCAGTAAACAGTTATCTTCACAGTGCAGGGGCAAAGTGATACCTGTAAGAGAAGGTGCAGCAAGAGAACATGTTGCAGAGAAACACCTCCAACTGAAATGATGAGCCAGTGGGTGTCTTTTTATGCCCATCGTCTTCCACCTCCCTCTCCACAAAAATAAATAAATTAAAGAAATTCAGCACCTGTGGACAACTCTGCCAAAAGGAAGTTACCTCCTGTGTGGTTTGTCACATTCAGGTTCTTCACACTTTCCGTGGGAACAAAGGCTGTCTCCATATTACCTGTCAAGTAAGGACAATGGTGAGGCTCCGCAAACCACTTTGAATCCTTGGGTTATTTGGGGAGGAAGTTATTGAAAAAAATAGCCCATAGGAAAATGTTTCATTCGATTTTATTCAGGCTCAGGCGAATTTTTTATGGCATTTCGGGGCAGTGGAGAAGCCATGGGGACAGGAAGATGGTCGGAGAGTCCTGTGCCAGTCAGAATGTAGGGCTGTATTTTCTGGCTCATTGCTATTGTTCAAACACAATTAATGATGGCCCCACAGGGTAGCAGGTGGCTGAACACACAGCAGCTAAATCCCTGGCTAAGGGTCTGTGGAAGGAGTGTTTCCACGTGGCAGGCATGGGGACAGGCACCTCCAGTCCTGTTCCATACTCCTTCACCCTTCCTGACATTGATTCCCAGGTCCCTCACCTAGTTGGGAGTTCTCTTCTGACATCGCTGAGTATTTTTTGGGTGGAAGGGAAAGAAACTTGAGGGCATGTAGGCCTAGGATCTTTTCTTTGCAGGGATGGGGACCCTTCAGTGTAGGGCATAGTACTTGGAGAGTGTTTTCTTGTTGAGTATCACAAGAGGAGAGGGAGCTGGTACCTTTGAAGTTCCCCTCGATGAGCAGAGGATTCGTGCCTGAAGCACCTTTGTCATTCCCTGAGCAACTTATCAACACCCTTGTTCCTTCAGTTCTTTGTTTAAATTTATGTTGTGAATTGGTTTTTCTGTGTTTTCTTTCTGTACTTTATTAGAATCTGGTGCGATAACAGGGATAAAGACCACAGACTTCTTGATAAATTTGTTTCTCCCTTCCTTCTTTGCCGCATCAGTGAGGTCGAGGCAGGAGACAGAAACCATGCCATTTGTTTGGTTTTTAATACAGAGAATTTAAACTAAAGAAATGTTAGCCTTTGAGGGAGGTAATTAAGAAGTCAAGAGGAGAACGTGGAGGTTATCATGGAGGTAGATGGCAGAAAGCAGCTCCCCACCCTGGGGCTGAGGGAACAATCGAAGAGGCTGGAATTAATGAAACTTAAAACCTCAGTGGAGGGTCCTTCAGAGCTAAGGCCCAGACCCCTGAAGAGGAGGACAAGCCAAGCAGGTGTCTCTGAGCTCAGAGGAGGGACCCGTGGGGCTGGGACCCACCTCCAAGGACAGGGGCTGTGCTGGCATCTCTGAGGAGGGGTTCGATGAGGCCGATGCTGTGATGTTGGGAAAACTGTGATGTGAATGAAGCCTCTGCTCCTGGTTGCCAGTGTATAGGAGCCGTGTTGCTGAGCCCCTGACAGGAATAGAAAGCTGGCAGAATGGAGCCAGCCCTTTCTCCTCTGTCCGGCCGGCAGCCTTCCTCCAGGGCCAACTGGAGGATCCTCCTGGGGAGCTGCTGGCCTAGCTGAAGGGCAGTTTGCAGAGTCCAACCCAGTCTCCCACCGTAGAGTGCAGGAAGGGGGTTTGGAGCTGAGAGGGCACAGCTTAATTACTGCTTTATTAGCCCAAGAGCAAAGCCGAAGGTCCTTTCTGTCTTGTAGCTTTGAGCCCTGCACTTTTTCTTCTTGTTTCTTCCTCTCTAGCTCTGAGTTTGACCCTTTAGCTCTTCAGAGAAAAAGTCTAAAAGACCCTCAGCATTTCCAAGTGTCCATTTTATAATCCCTTCATACCTTGTGCCTAGGAGGTCTACCCCTTAATCCTTTGATGTGTACCTAAGGGGAAATGACGCCTCAGCTGAACCGCCAATCATGTGCTCTTTCTGATAGGTTTTCGCTTCTGTCGGCATTCTCTGATGGCCCTTCTCCCCATTTCCTGTGTCCCTGGTACCACAGCCAGATCAAGGCTGGTGAAACCAGAAATCATGAAAGAGAGCCACAGACTTTCTCATTCAAGTCCGCAAATGTTGGTTATTTCCACTGTGCGCCAGGCACTATGGTTAATAGAACGAGGGAGAAAATGTGATCCCTGCCCCTAACACTTGCCACCAAGTGACACAAACAGAAATGTAAACTCTTCCCCAGGTTACAGACTGGGATGGTCATTGCCACAGCTTGAGGAGGTGGGAGAAGCAGATGGATCTGAACTAAATTGTGGTTGGCCATGAATGGAAGAGCAGTAAAATAGTAAACATGTATATGTTTACGATACGCTTACCGACGCTGACACCTTTAATCCCCACTGGCAACACCATGACAGACGACTGGAATCATCCCTCTTTTTGTAGATGGGAGATTGGGCGATTGAGGAAACGCCCAAGGTCACAAAAACTAGCAAGTAGCAGAGCTGAGTTGTAGCGGCTGAGTGACCTCCCCCTTAGACCTCATTTGAAGATGAGATAAAGTAACAGTGCCTGGCAAGAGAAAGGGGGTAGTTAATTATACCTTACCTAGTATGGAGTTTTGTAATTTATAAGGGTTTTAAATATGTTACCCCATTTAATTTTCATAATAATTCAATGAGGTAAGGATATTAGTCTTATTCTGTAGGAGTCTACTGAAGCTAAAATAGGAATAGAGATGGTCCCTAAGAGATAGGAGAGGTGCCGCCACCGTTATACATTCAGCATATTCAGGGAGGCCGTCAGGAAGAGGAGATGCTTTGTTGGTGTGCTGTGATTGATGGCTGAACAGGAGATTTGGGAGTCACACGCACCTCTGCTTTGATCCCAGCTCTCCTCTCGCTCATTAACCGTGCACCCCTGAGTGCAGTTGCTTCTGCACCCCCTTTCCCCGTCCACAAAATCTGGACAACACCATCTGCCTTGCTCCATTGTGAGAATGGGTAAGTGAAAGTTGAAAACCTTTTTGTCATATGTAGGTACCAGCATATGTGATAGTTTTTGGAGAAAGAAGACATCCCTAAATTTGGTTTCCTGACTAGTGCTGTGTATGGAACCATTATTCATTTTGCATAAGGGAAATTAATCATTAAAGGGCTTGGAATTTTAGCTCTTAATTGATGATTTTGCTTGTTCATAGCCTCAGCGACATTGCATAGGATTTATTTGATGGAACACTAAAAAGCTACTTTTCCAGATTCCAAATAGTTAATATTCTTAAACCAGCAAGAAGCCCACGGTCATTTTGAGAAACAGGAATAGTGATTTGGGTGGAGGTGAGATGTGAGATACCCTGCAAGTCGGATGTGAATGCCCCTGCCAGGTTCTCTTCTGGCCTCTAGTAACCAGTGGAATCCAAAATTTGGGTTGCACTTGGTCTTTTCAGTTTACAATGTAGGAAGGACAAACTCACTTATAATCTTTGTTAGGTTTCCCCTGCCTAACTTGGTTAAATCCAGCATGTCTCAGAGGTACTTGACAATGGCCCAGGGTTTTCACAGTCCCCCTCGTGACACCCTGTGGGATAGTTTTGGTCAGGTGACAATGTGTGAGGTGCTGAGCACCCGCTTTTGCAGATGAGGAAACCTGGATGCAGAAAGCTGGCAGTTTGTGCCTGGTCAGGGAGAAGAAGGCCTGGCGCTGGCACTGCTGCCCTGGACGGAAAGCAGCTGCTCCAGAAAGCACTCAGTACCTTCTTCTTCTCCCTACTAAGTTTGGCATTTGACCCAACAGATGGCCAAAAACTTGTAAATATTCACCCATGTTTTGTTATTTGAATGGACTGATCTTACTGAGACTTTTGCTTGCTGGATGGAAGGTGTGGCTGTCTTTGGGAAGGGGAGAGTGACCTGACCCCTTGAGGACTTTGGGCCATGTTTGCCAAGACAGCTGGGTCTGCTTCTGCTCCTGGTGCACAGTGCCACATTTTGCACTTGACACCTCTAAAATTCCCTTTCCCCTCTGGCCTATGAGCTCTTGGGAAGCAGGGAGGAAGTCTGAGTGGCTGAAGCAGCCATTGCAGGCAAGACACAGAGCGGCGCCTGATGTTCTTTTCTCTGGTCTGATGTTTGAGTTCTGCAGGCCACCGCCTGAGCTCAGAGCCGGCCATTTCTCCAGCAGCACTCCAAACTCACAGCACTCTGCTAACCAAGGCATTGCAGGGACCCGCTGTGAACTTTGGCGTAGGCTTTGTTGGACTCATTTGAATTTGGCCCAAAAGAAAATAACATTTCACATTTCTCCCTAACGTGGAGAAATTGAACTCATTGTCTTTTTTGTTGAAGTCTACTCTAATATTAACAGGTGGAATTTTATTTTAAATATAGAAAAGCCAATTTTTAAAAACATACAAATGCATAAACCGTAGCCAATATTTCCTTCCATTACATAATTTCTCTAGCTAATGACTAACATTGATATCCTTTTTCCTTTAATTTTCTTTTTTATCTAGTACTTGATATTTAGAAAATATATGCTCTGTTGAAATTATGCAGCATAATAATACAGTAGCTACCCATGAAGCCGCCACCGGACCTGTGATCAATCTCACCAGTCCCTTGGGTCACCAAGAGTTTTCTTCCCCATCCTGTCTCCCTGCCACCCCTTTCCTTGCCCAGAGCAACTATGATGTTTTCTCTTAAAAATTTAGGTGAAAGATGGGGCAAGGAGGCTCATGCCTGTAATCCTAGCACTTCGGGAGGCCAAGGTGGGAGGATTGCTTGAGGCCAAAAGTTCAAGATGAGGCTAGACAGCATAGTGAGACCCCGTCTCTGCAAAAAAAAAATTAGTCAGGCATGGTGGTACCTGCCTGTAGTTCCCGCTACTCTGGAGGCTGAGGCTGTAGGATCACTTGAGCCCAGCAGGTCAAGGCTGCAGTGAGCTATGAATGTACCACTGCACTCCAGCCCAGGCAACAGAGGGAGACCTTGTCTCCAAAATCAATCAATAAATAAATGAGTAAGTAAGTATGTAAGTAAATAAATAAGTGGTCATGTTTAGCTTTTTTGTCTTCTCTCCATTTCTACCCTGTAATTGAGAGTTGATGTTAGACTATTTTCTGGAAGTATCAATCAATAAATGTTTTCAGAAGTAATCAACTCAGCATAACCACTTTCCCTGGGTATTTCTGTCACCAAAAGGGGTACAAAACAATGCTTCCAACACAGGCATAAGGTGAATGTCTACTGGGGGGCTGGGGTCACTGCAGAGAAAAAACAGAAACAGTGTTAATTCTTTAGCACTATGGAGGTCAGGAAGAAATCGAAAACATGTAGTATCAAAGCATCTGGCCCCAAAGGACCACTAGACCAGGACATGGGGGTAGGGGTAGGGTGAGGAAGAAAGGAGGAAGGTCAGATTCAAGGGGGTCCAGTCTGTAAAAGGCCTTCCTTCTGTGAGATTTGGATGTTTGACATTTGCTCCAATTTTGAACAAGCCACTGGAAATCACGTCTTAAGTTCTTTGGGTTCATTTCAATTTGCTCCTTTTCCTCTGTACACTGGAACAGTCAGAAGGCCAGCTTTGTGTGGATTCAGGCAAATTCAAGTGACTTCGCTAGCTGGGCCTCAGTTTTACCTTGCAGCATATAGAGTCCCTATCAGAATGGGGGCCTTGCAGAGACTGAGATGATGTGAAATTAACAAGAAACTGTGAGCCAGCTCTGAGAGTTCATCCTCTAAGTATATTTGAGGTTAAATTCAAGGTTAGGGGTTCGCAGACCTAGCTTCTCATTATGTGTGTTTTCACCTAGCATCTCCACTCATTTTAAATGAGGCAGATGGAAGGCTTATATCTGTCTCACAGTAAGCATGATTAACTGGGAGAAATTATAACCAAAACCATACGTGAGTTCACTTAAAGTACATGATGGCACAAGACCATGACGATACAGAAAAGAAATGCTATGGAAGATCTACACAGATGGGCAAACCTCCTGCAAATATTTTACGTCTGAGAGGAAAAATAGAGTGTGACGGTAATGCCGCCTCCAGAAAGACTAGTTATTTAACCGAAAAAAATGAACGTAAAAGATTAAGTGTTTGGTAAGTTCTGAAGATGAGATAGAGACAGAATAGAAAAGAGAAGTTCTCTGTATTTCTTCTGTCAATATATTTATTCATTTTTTGTTTTCATGAAAACGTTTGCAAGATTAATTTACCTGCTATACAATTCACCCATTTAAGGTCTGTAATTCAGTGGTGTTTTTTAGTATATTCACAGATATGTGATCTCCACAGTCAATTTTAGAACATTTTCATCACCCCAGAAGATACTGTACTTTTGGCATTTTTATTCTGTATAAAATACCTGGCCAGATGTTCAAAGGCAGTGAAATATTATGAACTCTGGGCTGAGGCCGCCACCTCCTCTGCAAGCCCTTCCTTAACCAGAGGCACATGTGATATTTTATTTAACAAAGATTTCTCAGGCTTGCTTCTTTTTTTTTTTTTGTGAAAAAGCATTAAGTTCAGGCAGGGGCATTGAAACCTTGCTTCAGACCCTAAGTCCCCATGAAGATTTTGGAGCCACATGCAATGCAAATGGGCTCTTACTCCCCTGTCTAACTAAAGTAGCACACTGTAGCTCCATTTTCCAAATACATGATCTGTTTAAGTAAAGCATTCTAGAGCTGTAAGGCAAATATGAAAGGATTCAAAAAGACTTGAAAATCCATTTCTGTCCTCAAGGAATTCACTAGATAGTTGGGGGACCATGATATTGAAACATCAAAAGTTAATTGAATACAAGGTTACCAGAATGATTGTTCCATATGATTTCATTATGGAAATACTTACAGAAATTCTGTCAAAAGTTAGGTACAAATATGGGAAACATTACAATTTAGAGGGATGTTTAGAACTTGATGAGTCTCGTGTGGTTTCTTAATGAAGTAACAGAACAAAAGTTGCCTGAGTAGGAACTGTGCCTAACTCTGGCCAACACAGTATGCTCCTGGTACTCAGTGAAAGTAAGAATAAAAACAAAAATTGGAACAAAGTGAGAAAATCTGTAAATATCAAAGCAGCATGAAATCATAAGTTAAAACAACCTGAATTCATAAAGTACCAAACTCACCAGCCAAATTTGATAAGCAGTTTTTATTACAAAATGAATAGATGGAATTAAAAGTAAGGGCCATCAAACATTTCGATGGAAAACAAAGTAACTGATAGTGCATGCTATTTTTTATAGGTAAAGCTGATTTTTAAGTGAATTTAGATAAGAACACGATCGCATGGGCTATAAACAGACTGGAAGTGCTTATGACTCAAGATAATTAATCTAAAAGCTAAATTAATCATTCGAAAAGGAAATGTCATGGAAGGCACCATAGGGATAAATGTTGGATTTGGTGTTATTTACATAATTGTTAATTAGGCTGAATAGACTACTTCTGGAAACAGTAGTAGAAACTTGGACTAAATGTTTGTGTCCCTCCCAAATTCGTACTTTGAGATCCAACCACTAGGGTATTAGGAAGTGGAGCTTTAGAGGGGTAATTAGTTCATGAGGGTAGATCTCTCAGGAATGGGATTAGTGCCATTAGAGGAAGAGACAGCAGAACTTGCAGCTCTCTCTTTCTCTCCCCCTGCCATGTGAAGATTCAGCAAGAAAGCCGCCATCTCTAAACCAGGAAGAGGGCCTTCAAGCACCCAACCATGCTGGCACCCTGTGGCCTCCAGAACAGTGAGAAGTAAATGTTTGTTGTTCAAGCCACCGAGTCTGTGGTATTTTTGTTACAGCAGCCCAAGCTACATCAGAGCCCTTAGTTTTAAATGGGAGGCCTTGGGGCCGGGCTCGGTGGTTCACGCCTGTAATCCCAGCACTTTGGGAGGCCAAGGCAGGTGGATCACCCAAGGTCGGGAGTTCGAGACCAGCCTGACCAACATGGAGAAACCCTGTCTCTACTAAAAATACAAAAAAATTAGCCAGGCATGGTGGCGGGCGCCTGTAATCCCAGCTACTCAGGAGCCTGAGGCAGGAGAATCACTTGAACTTGGGAGGCAGAGGTTGCGGTGAGCCAAGATCACACCATTGCACTCCAGCCTGGGCAACGAGAGTGAAACTCCATCACAAAAAAAAAAAAAAAAAAAAAAAAAAAGACGAGAGTGGGGAGGCCTCAAAGTACAGGGGTTAACAGCATAGCCTGGCCTTAGTAGACCTGCATTTGACCTTGGCTCTGCCACTTACTGGCTGTTGGACCTTAGACAGCTTAGTTAAGGTCTCTAAGTCTCAGTGTCCTCGTGGACACATGGATTGGTAATGGTGGCTATCTCGTGGAGTTGTGCTGTGTGTTAATGAGATAATACACATGAAGTGGCTGGCACAGTCTCTGGCACACAGCACCCCACAAACGGTGACCATTGGTAATCATATAATCACAATCAAAATCAGGGGACGTGTGCTCTGATCTAGAAAGAGAACAAGTGCCATAAAAGCTGCAAAGTGGTCCTTTAACTAAACGTGGCCATGGTTAGAAGCTGACTCAAAGTCACCTTGACAATGCCATAACTGTGGAGAACTTGTGGAGAAAACAGAGACCCTCTCCTGTTTGACATGCATTCCAAATAATTTCTGAGCTGAGAAAGAAAACCAAAAAACACAGTAACTTAGCCTAAAGGGAAGGAAACCAGAGAATGACTTAATAATGATTGACTAGCCTGGAAAAATTTGCAAGTGGAGAATGATAGTGCTACCCTGTTTCAGTAACATTAAAAAGGAGAAGAGTTTTAAGGTAAGGGGAATATTTTGATGCAGAAAGAAACTTTACTGAAATAAGGGTGCTGCAGTACTGGGTTGAATTAACAACTGACAATGCTTTCTTGAGAATTATTAGCTTTCTTGAGAATGTTTATGAACAGATTCATGGGAGCTGAAGAATTTTTATTCAGTCATGGAACGATAAAAGGAAACCTCCAGCCGGGTGCAGTGGCTCCACCTGTAATCCCAGCACTTTGGGAGGCTGAGGTGGGTGGATCACGAGGACAAGAGATTGAGACCATCCTGGCCAACATGGTAAAACCCCATCTCTACTAAAAATAGAAAAATTAGCTGGGCGTGGTGGTGGCCACCTGCAGTCCCAGCTACTTGGGAGGCTGAGGCAGGAGAATCACTTGGACCCAGGAGGCAGAGGTTGCAGTGAGCCGAGATCATGCCACTGCACTCCAGTCTGGCAATAGAGTGAGACTCCGTCTCAAAAAAAAAAAAAAAAAAAAAAAAAGGGAACCTCCCAGGATTTTAACCTTGGAAGGTGCATGGAGACATTTATATTTCATATACGGGGGCTAGGCCCGGAGCAGGGGCCAGTTAGGATGGGGTAGCATTGTTAAACCAGAATCCCACTTTTTACCCCTCCCCTCCTCAGTCCCTTTTGGCACGCTTATAATTTATAACCGGGTCATGGACAACCGTCAAACTTGTGTATCTGTTGAACTCTCCAAATCAGTGTTTTGTCTAGAACACTATGACGTCTGGGCTTTGTGAATATTATTTCATGTCATCTTCACCACAGTATGCTGTCTCCATTTTATAGATGAAGAAACTGAGGCATATTGGCCTCAGTCATGTGTCAAGCCCACGGCACACCAGTCAGGGCCAAGGCCTGACCGATTTCGGCTGGTAAAGATACAAGGGGCCACTCTGTTTTTTATTGTGTTATTTTTTGACACAGGGTCTCACTCTGTTACCTAGGCTGTAGTGCAGTGGTGCGATCTCAGCTCACTGCAACCTCTGCTTCCTGGGCTCAAATAATCTTCCAACCTCAGCCTCCCAAGAAGCTGGGACTACAGGCATGGACCACCAAGCCCAGCTAATTTTTGTATTTTTTTGTTAAAATGGTTTTCGCCACGTTGGCCAGGCTAGGAGCCTCTGTAGATTTAGACAGCTTGTTACTTACATAAATGCAGAAGGAAGAGTAGCCAAAGTTGCAAGCTCCCACCCATCACAAAAGGAGGGTCCTGAAACAAAGGGCGGGTATGTTAGTTTAGTAGGGCGGTCATAAACAGGTACCACAGCCAGCGTGGCTTCAACAGCAGAAACTTATTGTCTCTCAGTTCTGGAGGCTGGAAGTCTTAAGACCAAGGTGTTGGCAGGGTTGATTCCTTCTGAGGATCTGTTTTGTGCCTCCTTCACCTCCAGTGGTTTGCTGGCACACTTTGGCATTCCTGGGCTTGCAGGAGCGTTATCCCAGCCTCTGGCTTCATCTGCAGGTGGTGTGCTCCCTGTGTGCATGCCTGTGTTCAGACCTCCCCAGTTTGATTAGGATACCAGTCATATTGCATTAGGGTCCACTCCAATGATTTCATTTTAAATGTATTACCTCCGTAAAGATCCTGTCTTTAAGTAAGCTCGTATTCTGAGGTACTGGGGTTTAGGACTCCCACATTATCTTTTTTTGGGAGGGGAACACAAGTCAATCCATAACAGAGCCGGTGATTACAATGCCAGCTGTGACATAGCCCATTGCAGAGAAGCCAGTTAAAGGCTGCAGCTCAGAGGTTTTATATTCTATGGTACCATTCCAAGGAGGGAAGCCAGAGAGCCTCACACCCCTTCAGAACCTGGGAGGTGAGGAGAAACTGCCTCATGACAGCCTCCCAGGGAAGTAGGGAGGTGGATAGGAGATGGCTCCTAGCAGCTCCTTAAAGGCCTGGAACACCAGAGGATCACAAGACTTTATCCTTTCAAGACACAGATGAGCTGCGGTTCAAGTCTTTGCTTGGTGGCTTATGCGGATATGTGCGAGGTTGCCAGGGGGCCCTGACAGAGCCGTTCCTCTGTCATCGCTCGTAGGATGGGGCAGATTCTGAGCCAGGTCTGCCACACTCCCATCTACACTCCTTGAGGCTTGCTGTTTCCCTGGACACCAATTCTTATGTCGACTGGTTGCTGACATTTTGTTGATGTCTTGGAGTCACAGGTCAGTTTCCCCCCCAGAAAGCAAACTCTGAGGCAGAGATGAACATGCCAGAAAGCTCATTAGCAGGTGCTCGCAGGTTCAACACCTGTGGAAAGGCAGGGGTGGCAGCAGGAATGGGCAGGGGAGGAGGTGGGCTGCCGTGCACTCACTACCAGGCCCTCGGCGGACCCCAGGCGTCTCTGAAACCACAGAACTGTGAGCTGCAGGCAGGGGTTTCTCTTCTAGCCCATAAAAGGCAGACTTTTTAAATTTAAATAAACATGCTGCATTGAAAGTAGTTACCACAAGACAAACAATGATTGCCTTTATGTATGATTTTATCATAAAGTATATATTCTTAACAATATCGAGGTATACACAGTATATGTACATACATGTATATATCATGTTAGTAAAGTATGATTTTTTGTATTTTTTAACTCCCTTAAGTCGGTCGTCTCAGCTGTCTGTATTTGAACTGCATGACACACTTTTGAGTCTGGGTCATAGACCAGATCCTTATTCCGGTCATTGAATGACTTTATTGGGTTTGTAAATCCTAAAAGTTCTACATGAAAATCTGTATTTAAGAAGATATATACATTTCTGGAACAAGAATTTGAATCTGTTTTCATATCCTCGGGGAGACCTTTGTCCTCCTCCCTGACAAAGTTAAGAACCATTGTGTGAGGAAACAGAGTCATGTCGTGGCTGCTTTGTAGGCTGCACTTTGCCTGCTCCAAACACACAGCAGTGACAGATCAAAATCTAAAAAGCGAAAATGAAAAAGTCATAATCGTGCCCCCTACTCCCCTAAAAAAGATATATCACTACAGACCAGAGACAAACGCAAAGCAGAGTGTGAAACCAGACACTGTGGGCTGCAGGATCGCTAGCCGGGAGGTGGAAACAGAGGCTTAGCTCTGGTGGCAGTAAGACTAAATGTGCCAGGCCAGAGCATTACTCTGCTTGAAAGCGGGCAGGGTAGTGGTCCTGTCCTCTGATCTAGAAGGGAGGCCCGAATCACTGCCTGCCCTAACCTCTAGCCTATAGAAAGCTTTGATCCTGGGAAGAGCACAGGACAGAGACAAGGCCTCCTTCTCAGGAACTGAGCTAAGCACCCCATGTCATCATCAGCCGTATCACCATTGGGCAAGAACCCAGACCACCAAGTCAACTCCATTCTGTGTGAGGGGTTCGAGCAGAGGAACCATAAAAACCTCTGAGCAGGGAGGGTGATCAGCAAGAGAACATTCACAATTATCTCCCATGCAGGCCAAGCCTGCCCACCCAAATTCCATGCCACGTGAGGAACTCTGACCTTGGGGTGTCAGCCATCCAAATCAGCAATCAGAATGTGAATTCACTGGAGACTAAAGTAAAATAAAAAAGCTATCTTGGAAAAAAAAAATGCCTGATGCCCTCAAAGAGACCATTGGAGAAATAATAACCATTAAACAAAAAAGGAAAATTCTGAATAAGAGGCAAAAACTGGCAGAAATGAAGGGTAAGTAGATAAGGAAAAAAATTAGAATCTCAGAAATGAGTGATAGATTCATTAAAATAAAGAAGGAAAAGCAGATGAGACTACTAGACTCAGTTGACAGGAGAATTAGTAGTTAAGACGCTGTTACTGAAGAATTCACCCAGAATGCAGCACAGACACACACAGAATAAAACCTAAACTAGGTCAGTTAAGAGGAGAGGAAGATAGATTCAGAAGCTCCGCAGTATGGATTATTGCAGTTCCAGGAGAGAATGAAAGGAATGGCAGAGAAGTAGGGCTGGAATTTTTCAGAATTGGAACAAGACGTGAACCCTCTGATTGAGAGCGCTGTCAGAGTACTGAGCAGAATAAATAAAGATAAATGCAGACCCAGCCTCATCAGAGTCAAATTGCAGAGCCTTGGGGATAAAGCTACACCGCTTCCAAACTGCCTGGAAGGAAAGATAGATTACCTGTGAAGAAGTAGCACTGACTGACAGCAGACTCGTCACCATTGCTAATAGGCGGCAGGGAAGTTGTCAGAGTGCTTGGGGAAGACAAACATGAAGCTAGAATTTTGTGTCCTACCAAATTATTAAAGTGTGAGGGGTTTCAGACATGTAAATACCGAGAGAGTTTGCCTCCTGTGGACTTTCACTGCCAAAAAAAACTGTTGAATGATACTTATCTGAGAGAGCAGAAGTGAAAAAGAAGGAAAGGTGTTGGGACTAGGAAAGGCCTAAGATTTTACCTCACTTGCAGGTTAACAAGGTACCGCTGCACTTTCATAGATGCAGGCAGAAAGGCAAGAGACTCCTGCCTCAAAGACCAAGGACTTTGTTACTCAGCACAGAGGTGGCGTGAGTTCTCTTAGCATTGGCTCTTCTAGTCCCCCAGTTCAATAGCGGGGAGGTGGAGCAGCTCTGGATGCTGTACACACACTGGGCTGGAGCACAGCTGAAAACCCTCAAGCTTGGGCACCTTCCAGTATTTCATTTGTCCATTTGCGTGTGTTTGTTTTTAGCCCAGTCTTTTAAAGGGGCTATTAGTAAACCTGCCCAGTCTTTGTCCCTGAGGAAGACATTATGTTTATCATTCTGGTGAGGGAACAAACCAGCTTTCTGCTCCAGAGGGAGAGACTAACCATCTTCCAGTGCTATTTGGTGTACAAGCCACCACAAGTTTTATGAAAACTCCATAGAGCACTGTCCCCCAACAAAGAGGTGGAAAACAAGAAAAAATACGGAATTTAAAAATATTTTTAACTTAAAATTAGCTGTTGAGTTAATTTATTGTTTTACCTGTGATTTTGTTTAGAAGATGAAACTCTAGACAAGAATAACCAGGAAGGAGGGCTGCTAGGGAAAATGAAGCTTCCTGTCTTTTTTAGTAGCTGAATAGAGACACTAAATAACTTTGTGCTTGGAACAATTTATTAAAGAATAATATGTATGTGTGTGTGTGTGTGTGTGTGTGTGTGTGTGTGTGTGTGTGTGTATTTCTTAAAGAAGAGAAATACAATTTACTCCTTACACCAGGGGGAAAATATTAGAATATTTTGAAAATCAAGCAATCCAATAGGCACAGAAAAGGAGAAAATTTATGAAAAGAGGAAGACTGGTTAGCAGAAAACACAAATGAAGATGGTATAAATAAAATATATTGATAATCACAGTGAATATAAATAGATTAAAGTGACCTGTTAAAAATCTGAAGCCATTCAGTCATCATGACCTTGTTCCACCATCTCAAGCAGGAAGGAAGGGTGGAAAAGCTGTCCCCACTGAGGTCTGATGTTTTAGTCTCCACAGAATTGCCACAACATCTCATTGGTGAAACTGAGGTCATGCCCCCTCCTCGCCTGGCCAATGGTGTAAATAACCATGACGCGTTTATACTAGTCTTGATTAACAAGTCATGACTTTCATTCCCTGGGACTGAGGAGGGACCTTTCCCAGAGATCAAGTGGGAGATTTTATTATCTTTTTATTAGAAAGTGATAGATCAAGAAAATCAGCAGATAAAAGAAAGGATATAGAAGATTAGAATAATACAATAAAGAATTGTGACCACACCAGAATGAGAGGTCATATACCTTTCAAACACCCCAAGAACATTGATTATATTGCTACTTTTTACTTGGGCATGTATTTTTTTTTTTTTTTTAGTTTCCAAATATATGAATTTTATGACTTTTAACAAATATCTTTTTATCGTGAACTTCAAATTTAATTGCATTGATGTCGGAAAACGTAGTATTACTCATTCTTGGAACTTTGTTGTAACTTGCTTTTTAACCTCAAATATAAGGATATCGTTTCAAGACCATTGGAAATAGCTGCAGTGTGATAAATGTAAGGGTAAGAAGAGAGTGTTACAGGAGTGTTTACCATCAGTTTGCGCATGTCCAAGTCATATGCCTGGTAGGAAAACTTTAAATTTGGGATCACACATTTTTGCCTATGCCATTTCTATTCATTAGGTTCATAGCTGTTTCTTGTTTACTGCCTTGGTTAGACCTGTGATGAGACAGAGCACTGCTGATGGTGGGTACCTAGTCATCAGTTTAAGTTTTCTGTTTTGAGTGAAATATCCATTTAATCAAAGTTTCCAAGTTCATTCTTACTAAATAGTTCAAAATATTCACCTATGACTTCTAAAGTCTCTACTGTATCTGTAGTTTTTTTTGAGTATTAAATCGTTTATTGATTACACATGATAATGAATGATACACAAACTTCATTTCCATCTATAATTTTATCTGGTTCCAGATTCAATTTAGATATATTGCATAGGATGGGCCAACAATCATTTTTATAACCAATAATTCCATGATTTTGCTTGGGTAATCCCTTTTAATGGTGAACTTCAGATCGCAACAGTAACCATCAGTTCACCTACACCAAGGTTTCTGAAGACAATGGCTTCTCCACCCAAGCAGGTTGTATATAAACTCCAAAAAGAACCTGGCATCACCCTGAAGGAATTCTAACTTCACACTCTTGGGGAAAATTTACCAAGATGGCTTCAGAGCAGACTAACTTTATACAGCACATTAAAAAAAAAAGACATTTATTCAGTATCACAATCAGACTATTACATTTAGCAATCAACAGCATGGGTGCCAAAAAAAAAAATCTGTATTAAAACCCTTTGTTGGAATGCTTTACACTTTCCACAGAACAGAAACTAAAATAACCTGTTGTACAGTTAGTCACAAATACAGTCCTCAGTTTTTTGCCCATACACATGAGTATTTGTCTAAAATATGTCTTCTTTGTAGCAGCTAGGCCCTGCCACCACTGTGCTTGGCTGAGTTCACAAATCCGTTGTAACCTGTAGCTTCCCTGACACTTCTCTGGCTCTCCTCTCCGGCTAAGCTTTGTTTCCTAATTAAAATCTTCTGCCACTGCCTTAGCTACTGCTGCTACTGGAACTGCCCTAGCCACCTTGGTTTCATGGTTTGGCAAAGTATTGGCCTCTACCACCATAGGGACCAGAGCTTCTGCCTCCAAAGTTTCCTCCCTTCATGGGTCCAAAATTTGAAGACTGATTGTTGTAATTGCCAAAATCATTGTAGCTTCCACCACCTCCAAAATAGCTTCCATCATTACCAAATCCATTATAGCCATCCGCCCTGCCACCATATCCACCACCATCATGGCTGCCACCAAAGCCACCATGACCACTGAAGTTTCCTCCATGACCAAAGTTGTCATTCCCACTGAAACCACCTCCACGACCACCACCAAAGTTTCCAGAACCACTTCACCTCTTTGGCTGAAAGAAGCACTCACCATCTCTTGCTTTGACAGGGCTTTCCTAACTTCACAGTTGTGGCCATTCACAGGATGGCATTTCTGAATGACAGTCTTATCCACGGAGTCATGGTCGTCAAAAGTTACAAAGGCAAAGCCCCTTTTCTTGCCACTGCCTCGGTCAGTCATGATTTCAGTCACTTCAGTTTTTCCAAACTGTTCAAAATAATCTCTTCAAAATAATCTCTTAGGTGATGTTCTTCAGTGTCTTTAATGCCACCAACAAATGCCTTTTTCACAGTTAAGTGGGCATCTGGTGTTTGAGAATCTTCTCTTGAGACAGCTCTCTTTGGTTCCACAACTCTTCCATCCACCTTGTGTGGCCTTGCATTCGTGGCTGCTTCCACCTCCTCCGCAGTGGCATAGTGACAAACCCAAAGCCCCTGGAGCAATTGGTGTTTGGGTCTCTCATTACCACACAGTCCAGGAGCATTCCCCATTGCTCAGAATGGCTCCTCAGGCTCTCATTGGTTGTTTCAAAGCTCAACCCTCCAATGAAGAGCTTCCTCAGCTATTCGGGCTCTTTAGGAGACTCTGACTTAGACAGGACGGCAGGGAGAAGAGAGACTTTAATGATGTTTTTTCAGCAGCATCCACGAGCAGAAAGTAGCAAGCTGACGAATCGTATCTGTAGTTTTGATGCCCTTTTCAATTCTTTTTAAAAAAAAAAAAAAAGAATTATAAAGAGGATCAACAAAAGAACACATCAATGCAGTCAGCTCTCTGTATATAGGGGTTTCACATCTGTGGATTCAGCCAATTGTAGTCAAAAATATTTGGGGGAAAAACAATTTAAAAATACAACAATAAAACATAATAAAAATTTTAAAATACAATATAACAGCTACTTACATAACATTTACATTGTATTAGGTATTATGAGTAATCTAGATGTGCATAGGTTATATGCAAATACTACACCATTTTATATAAGGGACCTGAGGATTTTGGTAGCTGTGGGGGCCCTGGAATCAATCCCCCTCAGATACTGAGGGACGACTATATGCAGTTATCTGATAAAACTAGTAAAATAGTCATCCTTCTGTTAAGAAAAGAAATAAGAAAACATGAATAATATTGTACGTAATCGAAGGTCCCTTTGGATTCTAAAATTCCACAATTCTATGGTTGTGGGTTATCAAGTGCCCACCAGGTGGCTTTGCCTGTCCAGCTTCAGCCTCTCTGCCATTCCACGTGGTTGCTAAACCCTAGGACAATCCAGGGATGGAGGCAACGCTCTGTGTCCCACCGACGTGGTATGTCCACTAGCTCACGCAGTTAGAAGAGAAAACACAGCTGAATGCACTGACTGTACTGTAGTCATTGCTCACAGCAGGTGGCTCTGTAATGTGCTCCTCTAGGCTCTAGAATACCTGCAATGTAACAGGGACTGTGCACAGTAAGGAGATTCCAGAGGTGGAGACAGAGATGCACACCCCACCCTCAAAAATGGCAGTCTCTCAGGAAGACAGCCATGAAGTAAGTAAGTACACAAACAGTGAGGATGAAAAGTACTGTGCAAGAGAAGGATAGGGTGCAGTAATGGGATTGATGGAGTCTGTGAGGATACCAAGTGAACAGGGTGGCTGAGGGCCAGAAGTGAGGTAGGGAGGGTGGGAAATTTTATATGGAGAAAGCCACTTAGTGTGTTTAAGAAACCCAGTAGGCTGGGCTGGCCTGAACCTACAGAACGTCGGAAAGAGGTAGAAGCTTTTAGGAATTGGAGGCTTTCTCCTGGGGCAGTGGGGAGCCACAGGATGGTTTTTACCACCACCGCTGGTTAAGCACCTAAAAGAAAGCCCACATCTCAGTAACCATGATCTGTAGTTAGCCTCTTATTTCCCAACAAAATCGTATGTCTCCCATTCAAAAAAACAAAGGCCACTAGTAGATATCCCATGTCCGATACCTACCTATTAGTGGATTAAATGCTTTCTTTTCCGTTAAACCATTAAACTTTTTATATTTTTTAGCTTGAAATAGGCTTGCAATATAATAAGCTGTCTGGGTTTTTCTTTTAAACTGCATGGATTTTAAACTGTATTTACCACAATGTATATTTTAATAATGTCTTGGGGCATGTGTTCTGGCTGCCTGCGTTATTATCATATTGACTGTTGTCCATGAATTGTTGACACGTGTTTCATTGGGACACCTTCTGCCATTTCTCTGTCACCGTGCCTGGCATCAGAACTCAGGAAGTGTGGTACCTCAGCTTGGATTAATTGAAGAGGAGATTCCATGCTAATTCTTGGCAATCTCAGTCTCTTATCTCCCTAAATTTCCATTTTCCATAAGGAACAAAAGGGAAAACAACCTGTGTAACCACCAAACTCCTGTCATCTATTGTTACATTAACTCATGGGTCATTTGTCACAGCAGTGTGACTTCAGGAGAGAAAACAAAACGCTTCTCAGGAACCAATATATTTTGTCAACAGCACCCGGATGCTAACTATCGTGTTTGTATGAAATGTGTGTTCTAAACTGATGCATTTGTTTGACAACTTTATTGATATTTCAAGTTGGATAATCATTTATGTTTGAGCATTTAGTTCTTCAGATACTTTGCCATTTAAAAGCTTTATACTTTCTCTGATCAATGATTCACCAAAGGGTTTGTAGCAATGTCAGGCTTGGCATAAATTAGTTTGTAAATTTGCCCTTCTAAAAGATGTTTGGATTTAGCAGATATTTCCTTAGGATTTCATAGTTATGTAACAAAACTTTTTTTATTGCAGCAGTAACTTACAGACCAAAACATACACACATATATCTATGTATAATTTTGATGTATATATGTGAGAGTTATATGTTTAGTTGTGATATATATATATTTGTGTGTGTGTGTGAAAGCAATAAACAAATACAGTAACTTCTAAACATATCTAATTTTAAATGTCTGTCCTATATAATGGTGAACTACTGAGCTAGTAAGCTGGAAAAAATGGAATAAAGTGGGGGAAATGGCTACATTTATGTTTATCACATCCTTAAAGGCATAATTTGAAAAATAATTCCCCAAGGAACTACTTATCAACCCAATCCTTTATTTTAGTAATTAGAAATACTAACAAATAATGACATTACTAATTGAAATATTAATTTTGATAAGCTCTTATTCCTCTACTAAAATGGCTTTCTGAAAGTATCACAAGAAGTTAATGAATTGCATGTTAATTAAATTTGAACTTTTCTCCTCTAGTATTCAAATGGGAAAAACAGAAATATAATACATTCAAATTTCTTTGTACTAAGTTGAACGTTAATGGCAATATAAATATAATATATGGTAATGTTACACATGAATGTGATAAGAATCTGTAATATTCATAATGGAATTTGCTAATTTTGAATATTGATTTGTCTTTTAAGTTCATTTTGTTCTGCAAATTTAGATGCTGAAATGATGTTTTACTAGCATTTCCTAATTAGTCAAGTGCAACTTTTTATGAAAAATTTAAATATTCTCATTCAACTAACAAGTTCATGTATCTTTTCTCCTCTTGTTTTGTTAGCCTCTTAGCAAATATCCGGCTGTGATCAATGATATTTCATTCTGGTTGCCCTCTGAGAATTACGCAGAAAATGATTTCTATGACTTAGTCCGAACAATTGGAGGAGACCTGGTGGAAAAGGTTGATCTCATAGACAAGTTTGTACATCCAAAGTAAGTGAAAAGCTTTCTGATTTTACCCTTGACTATCTCTGTGTGATAAATGTCATGTGGAAGCATATCATAAAATTTGCTGAAACCCAGGGTATCTGAGACAAAATGTCTTCTGAATTTGTAGTGAATGTATAGCTTATCAGAAAACTCTTTGATATCAGTCGTCTCTGAAAATCTTTCCAAGATGCATTTTCCATCTTTCCTGCCTTAGTAAAGAAAATATATGAAACAGAATCTTTTAAAAGTCCTGCAGCTTTTCAGTATTGTTTTTGGAAGTGACTTCTTACCTTAGCATGTTCCAGGTGCAGAGGAAATGGGCAGAAAGAGCAGTTTGTGGAGTAGAAGCTGTTTTGATAGTCTCTCAGCAAATATTTGTTAAGCACTTACCACACGCCAAGATCTATATTACGTCCTAGGAATTAAATGTGTTCCAAACAGACTTAGCTCTGCCTTCTTGGAACTTATAGTCTTGTGAGAGAGGCAGACGTTAAATACATAATTATGAAAGCATGCTATTATGAGGGAAAAATGCATTGGGTGTCATCAAAAAACTAATTTCATGTGGGGAGTCAGGGCAGGCCACTTTGAGACATGGAAGCTGAGAACAGAAGGATGATGGGCAGTGAAGAAAGAAGAAGGAGCATCGCAGATAGCACATGGGAGTCCTGGGGGGAAAAGGGCACATGAGATGCAGAAGGCAGCCAAGAACACGGCAGCTCAAGGACCAAGGGGGAGGCTGTGTAAAGTGATGATTGTTGGGTAGTGATGTGTTTCCAGGGCCAGGTGGGCCTGGAACCTGCAAGGTCTCAGACTTGGAATTTTACCCTAATTGTAGTGGGAAGCTATAGAAGGATAGGAGCAGAGAGATAAGTGACGTGATTTGATTTGCATTTCTGACTGGTCACCTTTAAATGGTCCCCTTTGGCTCCTAGCTGTTAGAGAAGAAACAGTCACCAAATCCTGTCTAATTCACACCTCCATTTTCCCTTCCCCGCCTGATTGTTCCAGGTGTGTCATATCTAAATTGTCAGGGCTCCTGGCTCCCACGTTATATCCTGTCATTCAGACTCCCACCTGTTTCCTTCTTTGTCTTTTTTTTTTTTTTTTGAGACGGAGTCTCGCTCTGTCGCCCAGGCTGGAGTGCAGTGATGCGATCTCGGCTCACTGCAAGCTCCGCCTCCCAGGTTCACGCCGTTCTCCTGCCTCAGCCTCCTGAGTAGCTGGGACTACAGGCGCCTGCTACGGCCCCCGGCTAATTTTTTTGTATTTTTTAGTAGAGACAGGGTTTCACCGTGGTCTCCATCTCCTGACCTCATGATCCGCCCGCCTGGGCCTCCCAAAGTGCTGTGATTACAGGCGTGAGCCATCGCGCTGGGCTGCCTTCTTTGTCTTTTAAAGCATTCATTCTCTAGATAAAGATGTTCAGTGTTCACTGCCAATTGTTTTGCCTCCCTTTCCCCAATTATCTAAATGACTGAAGTTCATCATCTAGAATTTTGCTCAACAACTTGTGGAAACAATAGTCCCTGAGCTCTCGCATGTTCAAAACTGTTTATCTGTTTATACTTGAATAACAGTTTGGTTGGAAGTAAAATCTTGGCTTGGTCTTTCTTTTTGGGAGGATCTTGTAAGTGCTGCTCGATTGTCCTCTCAAGTTTAATTTCATATAAAGAAATCTGATGCCATACTTGATCTTTTTGCTTTTTGTTTTAAAGGATTCCTTCTTTATCTTTCAAGTTTATTATCTTTATCAGGCTCCACCTCAGTATTGATCTTTTCTCCCTAGTATATATCATTGTGTTTCACAAATTGGATTGGACTCTTATTTATTTTAGGAAAATTTTCTTGAATTATATCTTTAGGGATTTGTTCTGATCCATTGTTCTGTTCTGTTTCATTCTTCAGGGATCCAGTTATGCATAAGTAGGCTCTCCTTTGTCTGACTTCTGTACCTATTATTTTCTCTCTAATGTTTTAAAATTCTCATTTCCGCTTCATTTGGTATGCTCTCCTCATTGTTATCTTCTCTGTCCCTTACTGTGTTTTCTTCTGTCTTTTCTCCCTTGTGTACCTTCCATCTGTAGTTACTTTGCTTTTCTCCCCGTTCTGGGTTCTGCAAGCTCACATTTTAGCTCCCCCTGCTTTCTTGCCATCTCTTCTCTGAGTTATTTCTGCTTTCTGGTCTTCCTTCATAGAGAAATTGCTTCACTACATTTTAAAAATTGATTGTAAAATATTTAGCCAGAAATTTCGTATGCTCCAATGGCAACATTTTTCTGTGACTTTTCTGTTTCTCTGCCATTGTCCTCTTTTTTCCCTCAATTCTTTTTTAATTGATCTGTCAGTGGTGTGCATATGATCGCTTTTTTGCCGCTCATATTTGAATGCATTGGGTTTCCTGGACCAGCTATTTGCACAAGACTAGGGGGAGGTTGAGGGTTGGCATAGCAGGCAGGGGCTGGGATAGACATTCAACCTAGCTTGTTTTCATGCTCTTAAGGCTTTATTTTTCTAGAATGCCAAGAAACCAACTTTCTTTAAACATGACTCATCTCTTCGATTTTCTTGTATAGGTCTTCCTCCCACCCCAAATCTACACTTGTTAGAAACAGAATAATTACCTTTGCTTACTCCATTATCAACACTTGGAGATAGAGACTTTACACTTCAGATTGTAACCCATAGCTCTTAAAAAAAAAAAAAAAAAAAAAAAAACAACGAAACAAACAAACAAAAAAACCATGTTTTTGCTGGAGTTTTCTGAGATGTGCCACTCTGTGTGTTTCTTCTCTTCACTTCCTCTCATTTGGCTTCTACTTGATTTCAGCTGCTGTTGGCAGCCTTTAAATATATTTTGGAGCTTGCAGATGATATCTGTCTCCTAACTTTACAGAAAATAGAATGTATGGGGTAGTCTGGATCCCTGATGCTGTGGAGTGCCAATTCAGCCCTGGACTTTTATGTGAGAAAGAAATTTCCAGGAGTTTCCATGTTGATACTAGAAGTCTAGTTATTTACATTTGAAGAGAAGGAAAAATATTGGAACAAGACTGATTGCTGAGTACTAATTGATATGCCAAAGGCATGTGACTTGTAATTTTTTCCCATTCTTTTTTAGTACAAGTTGAGTATCCCTTATCCAAAAAATGCTTGGGGCCAGAAGTGTTTCAGAGTTTGGATCTTCTCAGATGTTGGAATATTTGCATATATGTAATGAGATATCTTGGGGATGGGACCCAAGTCTAAACACAAAATTTCTTTCATATATACCTTATACGTGTATCCTGAAGGTAATTTTATACAATATTTTTAAAAATTTGTGCATAAAATAAAGTTTATGTATATTGAATAATCAGAAAGCTTCAGATTTTGGAGCAGTTTGGATTTTGGATCTTTAGATTAGAGATGCTCAACCTACAGAAAACTCTGGAATCAGGGATTTGGAATTCATTCTTAATTTTTGAGGTCACAGTCCCTTACTTTCTGATATGGCCGTAGCTTCACCCTTGCCAGCGTCAAAAGTGGGATGAGTAACCCTTTCGCACTGGAGATTTTCAGAACCTACTAGGTTACAGAGAGATGCTAAAAACCTAGGAAGCTGAGAGAAATTTCTGTTGTGCTGGATGTGGGGGGTAGATGTCACTTGAGGAGGGGGTAAACATTGAATCTTTTTGATAATTTGGTAGTGTTCAAGGGGAATGCTGAATGGGCATGCTAACTGGAAAGACTGCAGTGGGAGTAGGGTAGTGTTGGGGTCCTGTGGACCCAGGGACAGATCAGGCAGGCAGACACCCCATTAAAAAAAATCACTGAAAAAAATAAATATTTTTCTAAAAAAAATAGAGTATTAGAAATACTCTTAATGCAGGTATACACACACAACCCCATACTGACCTGCTAAAAGGTGAACTTATTCAGTTCCTTCTGAAGGAGACAGTACTTTTGATTAGAAATTTGAAAACATTCTTCATTGGCACTGATCTTACAATGTCTTGAATACATATTGTACAGATATTTATAGACTATTTTTTTGGAGCTATGCCAAAGGGCATGGCTGCCAAGGGCATGTGTCCCTTATTAAGAAATAAGGGGCTTGGTGATTGGAGTAAGGTTCCTGTGGCAGAGATTGCTAATTATCTCTCAATATCCAATTCCCCCTGCCCCCGTCCTTCTGCCTCATGCCATTGTTGTAATAACAAAAACCTGGTTTTTTAGCTCAGCAATTTTCCACTCAGCTAGAAGTCTATACTTCTAAATTGGCCAATGATTTGTAAGTAGATGTGTTTAGTGGTATTTCCAGAAGTTTCTTTAAAAGTTGAATTGAGGGTATTCTTTTTTCTTCCTGCTACTTCATTGTGACTGTGATGGCTAGTATTCTTGCAGCCATTTTGGGCCATGGTGCGGACTTGGCAATGGAGACTGTATGGAGTGGAGCAACAACATAGAAGAAATAGCCTGGGGCTTGAATCTGTGTCACTTCAGCCCTGGACTTGTAGCTGAGAGAGAAATACCTTGTTTAGGCCACTTATTTTTTAGATCTCATTATTGACAGCCAAAGCAAAACCTAGCTATTACAGTACTGGGAAATATACCTGAGGAAAAGGACACATTATTTAGTAATGATGGCTTACTGTGCAGTGATCCTCAATAAGTATCTAGGGCAAGGGCTGACCAGATTGTGAATATTTTTGACGTTGTGGGTCATAAGATTTCTCTCGTAACTACTCAAGTCTGCAAGTGCAAAAGCAGTCACAGATAAAATATAAACAAAGGAGCCTGGTTGTGTTCCAATGAAGCTTTGACTACAATATCAGACAGTGGAATGTGAATTTGGCCCATGGGCTGTAGGTTGCTAACCCTTGATTTGGGGGAGGGGGATACATGAAGTTTTTTTTGAAGACTCTGACTCCCAAATTCCAAAACCCTCTACTGGGAGATCATCCTTCCTTGAGCACCCTGTGCCCATCCTCCCCATCTCCCCACCAAGTCCCTGACTACTTAGGTGATAGGAAGTGAATGGTCTCCTGACCTTGAACCTTGACCTCAAGATTTATTTTATTCCATAAACATATAAATGAAATATAGCCTGATAGTGCAAAAGAGCGCCGACCCTTTCTTTGCCTAACATCAAAGCATGCTTAAGTGTGAGACGTGATAGGACTGAGTGAAAGACAAAGTCGTTAGACACGTTGCATGTTATTTTCTGAACAAAAACAGATCCCAAGATGTTTCAGGGAGACATAAACTGCCGAAGAAGAGCCTAATTTCATAATATTAGACAAATGGAGAAATTTTTTCTTGATTACAAATAACAGCTTGTGCCCTGAAGGAGGATAGATGTTCAGGTTAGAAGAAAATGGCGTTTTGTTCCAGCCAGTCATTTAGAACCTTCTCCCAGAGGGTCTTTGCCACTTAATCTATGGGCCACTTAACGTGCAGAAGAGTTCTTGTAGTTCTAAACTTAATGTAACAAAAAATAGAATGGTGATTACCTGTAGGGAAGGGGACCAGGTTGCCATGTCCTTTGACATCTTTGGAATATGGTACTATATGATGCATTGACTAAATGGGAGACTTGAGAAGGCAATCATGTATGTCAGTATATGAACTTGATATCCCCTCCATCACATTTGTAATATGAATACATTGATCATCTTCAGTCTCCAAGTTCATGCACCTTAAGGAATTATGGTGTTGTTTTTTGTTTTATTCTGTAACACCAGTTGCTCAGAATATTTCTTAGCAAAATGGGGTATGAGGAAGAGTGAAGAGTATCCCAGGGGAACTTAGCCATTGCCTTTAGCTGCCAACACTTCATTTGGAGATGCCAGCTGATTATTTATGAACTGTGGAGATGGACTGTAAGACAAAGTAGACCTTAATAGGTCAGATTTGGTCTGGCTTTAAGACAGACCTTTTTGAGAGTGGGAATTGGGGAGTAAAATTTTTTTTTTACTACCATCCCTTTCCTTTGATTGCAAGGAGGGGTTTGGTGGTGAAAAATGCCCCAGGTATCTGCAGCAAGGGCAGGTTTGAAAGGGTGGATTCACTGATGCCCCTAACCCGATTCTGCTCATAGACTCACTCCTTGTTCCGGGGACTGCTGGCCTGCCACTTCCTGCTCACAGTCGCAGATGGGGCTTCCTGAGTCTGTGCACTGTCAGTCAGAGCTGAGATGCTAGAGGTGAGCTCCTCCCTCAACCCCAGGTCACTAAAGGGGCCTCTCAGTTCTCTTCATCCCTACTTGAACTTCCTCATGGTTATATTCCCTTTTGTGATCTATCACTTGCCATTTTTTATAATTTGGCTTAAGTGGGTAGACTAGAACACTTGTGACCATGTCTGACAGAATTCTCAAGAGGGTCTTCACCATGAGAGGCACCTTCTCGGTGTGGCTGGCCTGGCTTCCCAGTGTGCATGAGTCATGGACGTTGACCTGGTCAAAGCTCTTCCTCCTGCAGTACTGGAGCAGTGCATTCTCCTTCCTGTCTCCCTCTCTTCATTCTTTTTTCCATATGTTCATTCATTTTCACTTTGTCAAATTACACCCAATAAAAATGCCAATGCATACAAATTTGAAAATAGAAAAGATGAGATTCACCCATCATCTCAACACCCGAACACAACAGCTCTTACACTTTTACATTTTCCCAATCATGACTGTTTTCCATATGTGCGCATCAGACGAGTTTTCGGCCCTTACATAGAGAAGTTGGTATATGCTTTGCATTGTCATCCCTTGGTCTTGGGGAGGGTTTTTTAACCTCTGCACTACTGATATTTTGGGCCTGGTAACTCTTTGTCCTGTGCATTATACGATGTTTAGCAGAATCCCCGGCCTCTACTCACTAGATAGCAGTAACAACCTTCCTACCGTGCACGCGCACAGACACACACATACACGCACACACATGACAACTAAAAATATCTCCAGTGCCCCCTTGGTAGGCAAAATTGCCCCCAGTTTGAGAACCACTGGGATTTTCTTTAATGGAGAATGTCTTATGCTTCTTATAAAAAAAGTTTCATAAAATTGTACTTCATTTTATGTTATGAGCAGTGGGGAGAAGGGATAGAACACATCACAGGAGGAGGTGTTCTAGTGGGGGCTCTTGTCCCAAGGAACAGAGAGACCCACTTGTTCAAATGTAGGACAAGCTGGACAAATTAACCAGGCTTTGGAAAGAGCAGGAACTGAGGCAGTTGAAGGGTCTGAGCTTCACTCTTTCCATGGTGTCACCACTTCCCTATTCCATTTCATTTTCTCACACTTATTCTGTCTCTCCCCACCTTCCCACCATGTCGTTTCTGCTCTTTTTTGTCTTATACAGAGTTCAGAATACCCCACCTGGGCCCCGAGTCCACATGACCTTCACTGTCCAGCAATCAGCACCAACTTCAAGTCCCTTGTGTTATTCTGATGGTCTCAACAAAGGGACCGGATTAGCCCAACTCAACTTTTCCTGCTAGATCAGAGGCAGTTGGTGGATGGGCTCCACTTGAGTCAGATGCTGCCCAGGGTCTAGTTAGCCACGTGGGTCAGGTGGACAGGCCTCCGGCCTTCTCCTATATGTCAGTAGGTTTACTGTTCTTACACATCCTTCTTTATTTTCTCTTTCACCTGAACTACGTAGCTGCTGATTTAGGCACCACCACTTCTAGCCTTCCTTAAACTTCATGCAAAGAGATGTGCCATAAATACATTTGCCAATTGATTCTTGAGTTCTTGTGCTGTGGAAAACATTGGGCTAATTGCTGTGGGGTCATAAGGGTATGGAGGCAAGATTCTGGGGTGTTTGTTTGTTTTTGTGTTTTGAGACAGGGCTTTGTTCTGTTGCCCAGGCTGGAGTGCAACTCCTAGGCTCAAGTGGTCTTCCTACCTTAGTCTCCCAAGTAGCTAGGACTACAGGCATAGGCCACCACACTTGGCTAACTTTTTTTTTTTTTTTAATAGAGATGGAGGTCTTGCTTCGTTGCCCAGGCCGATCTTGAACTCCTGGCCTCAAGGGATCCTCCCTCCTTGGCCTCCTAAAATGTTGGGATTACAGGTGTGAACCACTACACCTGGCCAAGATCCCGGTTTTTATGGAGCTAAATAACATGCGAAAAGTGAAATAGCAATAAAAAATATGATGTAACAAGGCTGGTTAAGCCTAATGAATGGCCTTCCCAGTTTCTTGCATGTAATTAACACTCAGGAAACTTTGATTGACTTGAAATGGAAGGTACCCATCATCCAGGGCTGCAGATTCAGAGGAAAGAGGCCTTCAGTCTGGGAAAGTTTACCAAGGAAACCGAATAGCAAGCTGTGTATGTCTGTCTCCCTTCTAATCCCTTATGAATGGGATGTACACAGTCCCAACTCTAGTTAATGTGTGTGAACTACCTGTCATAGAAACTCAGCTTCCAAAAACTGTTGCCAGGATAGACCCACTCATGGTGGGTACTTTAAGACAAAGGGAATTTATCTCAGGATACACCTGAATCAAAACTGGAAAGCTCTTCAGAACTGAGGGAAGGTCTAAGGGCCAGAGACCCTCAGCCTCTGGGTGCCTCTGGCTCTGTTTCTGTCCTTCCTTCTGCTGGCCAGTCTGTATCCTCTACTTCCCCACCATACACACATTAACATCTCTTCTCTTTCTACATTACCTGCAGTCTTTTCTAGCCAGTCTGCTTCATTATCCAGTGCAAATTCTGGAGGGAAATAGCCTGACTGACTGAGCTAAACACCATCATGCCTTTCAGGCAGATCCCCTTGCATCAGGCTGCCTCCTGGGGTGCTGGGCCACCTGCACATGGACCACCGTTGGGTTAAGAATCCATTGTCAATCTCACTAGGGGCCACTTATAAAACAGCCCAGCCCTACTCGCCAGAGCAGGAAGCCCTCGGCAGAGCAATTTCAACCTGGAGGGCTCATCAGATTTTTTACACCGCCTTCCTCTTTCTCCGACCTGCCACCGGTCAGCTCCATGTGTAGAACTCTGTGTAACTGCAGCTTATTGTTGGCTCATTCTTAGCTTTTATTCTCTATTTGCATTTAAACTTTTCTAGGCTATTCCACATGATGGAAACTCCTTAGAGGCCTGTGGCATAGTAAGTGCTATGGTTTGAATGTTTGTGTTCCTCCAAAATTCATGTCAAACAGGAATCTCTATTGTGTTGGTATTAAGAAACGAGGCCTTTGGGAAATGATTAAGTCATGAGGGCTCTGCCCTCATGAATGGGATTCGTGCCCTTATAGAAGAGGCTTCAGAGAGCTGCCTGCTCCTTCCATCTCTTCCACCTTGGGGAGGACACAGTGTTCGTCCCTTTTGTCCTTTGTCCCTCCGCCATGTGAGGATGAGTAAGAGGAGCCAACTATGAAGTGGAGAGAGACAGCCTTCACCAGACACCAAATCTGCTGGCACCTTGATCTTCGACTTCCCAGCCTCCAGAACCGTGAGAAATGCGTTTCTATTGTGTATTAATTACTCAATCTAAGCTACTTTGTATAGTGGCAGGAACAGATTAAGACAATAGCTCATTTTCGTCTTCCTGCAATGTTTATATCAGTGGAGGGAGACTTACTACATAATGCTTGCTGGATGGTTAACTAGTGCTTCTTCCTTCCTTAGAGGAACTGTTATTCAATGACTGGAAATAGTTTATGAGAAGTAGAGTCCACGTAGTTTAGTGGAAGAGCTCAGAATTTAGAATTGGAAGGCATGGGTGAGTCCTGACTTTCACACCTTAGATGTGTGATGTTGGGACTTTTGGAGCCTTAGTTTCCTCATCTACCACCAGGAGTAATGTCATCCATAAATGGTAGCTAGGAAAACTAGATGACACTATCTATGTGAAATGCTTTGAAAATTTAAGACAGTTTCCAAAAAACGAGTTAGCTATTAGAGTAAAAAGCCAGTGTCATAGTCAATCTAACTTGTACTTTAAAATAAAGAATAACCTCAGTACAACTGGGAGCCTTGGACTTGGCAGCCAAATGCATATAACTGGGAAGTTGGGATAATGAAGGGAAACAGAATGAGACTTTGTATAAAACTGTCATTTGGAAATGATGCATGTTATTCCTGCAATTTAAGGAGGAAATTTTTAATTAAAAAAATACTTGTAGGCCGGGCACGGTGGCTCATGTGTGTAATCCCAGCACTTTTGGAGGCTAGGGCAGGCGGATCACGAGGTCAGGAGTTTGAGACCAGCCTGACCAATGTGGTGAAACCCCGTCTCTACTAAAAATACAAAAATTAGCCAGACGTGGTGGCACGCGCCTGTAATCCCAGCTACTCAGGAGGCTGAGGCAGGAGAATTAATTGAAGCCAGGAGGCGGAGGTCGCAGTGAGCTTAGATCATGCCACTACACTCCAGCCTGGGTGACAGAGCGAGACTGTGTCTCAAAAAAAATAAATAAATAAAATAAAGACTTTGTAAAGTGGCATCGATGCTGGTCAGCAGAGTTATATAGCCAGTCTGGGTGTTCTCTGGGTCCTGTGTTGGGAAAATGCTGTGGACAGTGGCAGATGAGATGACATTTCTGGTTTGCAAATCACATCCTGGTCTTATTCCTCTGGACAGAGCCAAATAAGTGCAGTTATCTGAACTTAAAGATAGCCTAGCGCTGAAAAGCCAATGACAGCTAATCTTGAGAGAGCCATGGGTACAGGGAGCTTGTCAGAAGTTGTGTCTCCTTGAAATTGGCAGCATGCAGTACCAAGGGGATGGCCAGACACTGCCAGGCCTCTTTAAAACTCTCCTGGCTGCTTCCTTTTCTTTTCCATTTTTATTGTAATGCTGGTGATGTGGGTATAAGAACTTTTGTTGTGGTGGTTCAGACAGCCGAAAAAGCAATTCTCACAAACTGTTTTTAGCCTGGATATCTGTTTTCCCCTTCTTCCTTTCTCTTTCCTCCTTCCCCAAGCTTTCTTTTAACAGCTTACGATGGGTGCATCTCATTCCCATCACATAGCAGCCCTGCTTGACACCAGCATTAGATGAATTAAATCACAGTTTGTTCAGTCCCCAAACACCTTGTTCCTCCTTGTTGCCCTGCACATCACCATTTGCCTAAAGATTCTTCGGGATTCCCTTCAGTGCTGTCCTGGCAGGGACCCAGGAGTAGTGTCTCTGCAGAGAGAAGGGCAGAGGCAGAGAGACTGCTTGCTCAACAGCAGCTAGGCAGGGAGAGAAGCCGGGCGCTGAAGGAGCTGTATCTTCAATGTTCTGCTGTTGCAATGCACACCTTCATGAAATCCTTTTTAACTTTCACTTAGCGGTTTTCAGCGAGTCTTTGGCTATTGTCTTCCCTTGGCATCCTGGGCACCTTTTTGTAGTGTGGCGATGGAATGCTCTCTTTCCAAGATGAGGGATGAGAGTAACTCACATCCTTTGATGTTCCCTGCCCCACCCCCTCATGATTAGATTCAAGCAAGTTAAACACACACCAAGAGCAACCTGTGACATGATATAAGTCACAGAATTGCTGGCAGAAATGGGGTAGGGTGGGGCGGCCCCGCCCCCGCCCCCTCATTTTGGGCAGTTATGAGTGACACTCTGAATTGTTCGAGGTTTTTAAACTTGTGCCCTCCGTTCACAAGATCACTTCTTTCTGGCTACCACCCAAATTCGATGTCCAGAGCCAGCATGGGAGTCTGCCCCTCATCCCCGCCTAACTCACTGTCCATCCACCTGTGTCTCCTGAGTTCTTCCCATCCCACACATGGCTCAGCCTTGAATGTACCATAGCTCCCACAGTTAATGATATTGTCTTGAAAACGAAGAGATTTATGAATTTGGATACATCCTGGCCCCTTCAGAGGGACCATTATCTTGACTGTAGATCTTGGAGTTAGGTCTCTAAAGACAGGCCTGTGATTTGTGAGAAAGTCTCAAGGATATGCAGGTAACACCTACTGGAGTCACGCTTCACCAGTTCACATTTCTGAGCAGCACAGACAGGTCTGGCAGTCTTGGGCCTCACGTTGCTGGTCTTCTCCAGAGCAAGAAACAAGCTGGGCTCCAGGATCACACAAGCAGGGCCGCGACTGACACAGGGGTGCAGGCTGAGGCAGCTCCCATGTCTCTTGTGCTAATTCTTTTCTTTAATTTGCTCATAACTGAGGCTTGAGTAGCAGCCAGGAGGGTGAACCAAAGAAGGCAAGGGGCCAGCATAGACAGGGATGAGGTCAGCCCCGGGGGGAGGGACTGATGATGTGCACAGATGTCTGCCAGGGGTCCTAATGGCACCCAAGATCCTGGGTGTCTGTCTTAGGAGGGATGTTTGGTAGAGAGACAAGTGGCCAGTGGACACTGTGGATATGTGTGGTGGGGCAGATGAGTGGTCACAGAGAAATAAGGCTTAGGGGGACAGCGATCCAGTCATTGGCAGAGTGGAGTCCTAGGTAAGGCCCAGTTACAGAGGAATGTGGAGGCCACAGCCTGGGATGCGGGACTCTGCTGTTACAGCAGAATCATCAGCAAGGCTGCCCGCCTGCCCTGATGGTGAGCCGCTGGCCAGGCTCCAGATGGTCTCTCCGGAGAGGTGGGACTGGGCTTGGAATCACAAGGCTGAATCTCAGATGCGCAGGTGGTGGGGATGGTTAAGTTAGAACATCCAGGCATCCAGCAGGTCTTTACAGAGGCTTCAGCTGGTTTTTTGCTTTGTTTCTGTTTTGTTTAATAGTGTACAGCTTCATAGTGATCTACATATTCATGTATGGTTTAGAGCCAGGGAAGGTGTTATCATGATTGGAATTTAATTGGGTGTCTAGTAAGGAAAAAGCAAGGTAGAATGTTCCATGACATTTACAGGAAGAAGATAATGCCTGAAGGAGGCCTGGTACGAATGAGGGAATCCCTGTTTTCTAGTGGGAACTACCTCAAGGAAAAGGCACTCATCAGACACGTAGGAAATGAGTTCTCAGACTCAGACATCCCCAGCCTGCAGGTCCAGATGAGGGTACGTAATAATGTTCATACTCAGATATCCCAAGTGCATCGCCACCTACCTGCTGTCATGGATCCCAGTATCCCGCAGAGCCCCCCAGAAGTATTTCTGTAGGTCCCAGGGGGTGTCCACAGCAAGCTAACTTCCACTGGACATGACAGTGACTCCCATTGGGCCCCCAGGGGACACCACCGTTGAGGCTTTGGGGCCATCATGGTGTCCAGTGGTATTTCAGAGCTGTACGTTTCCCCACTGTCAACTTGTCACCTGGGACTTAAGCAACTCAGCTTTGAGCCCCGCCTTTCTACCAGCCTTGCAAAGCCCCTCTCCCACATCCTCCTTAGGCTTTCCCTCCAGGTAAACCCATGCAAATAAAGGTTTGGATATTTCACCTCAGACCTGGTTAGATCTCAGTTTTGACTAATTTCTTTTCCATGGGAGCACAGTTCAGAGATGAGGACAAAATCAACAAAATTCCAGTTACCTAATAATCTTTTGTGAACATAACTATAGTCATGCATCACTTAACGACGGGGATACATTCTGAGAAATTCGTCATTAGATTTTGTTATGTAAGTATTATGGAGTGTACTTACACAAACCTAGAAGGTGCAGCCTACTGCACACATAGGCTGTATGGGGTACAGTGTAGCCTATTGCTTCTAGGCCACAAACCTGCACAGCATGTTACTGTATTGAATACTGTAGGGAGTTGTAACACAATGTTAAGTACAGTATCTGAACATATCTAAACATACTTCATAAAAGTGGCAGCGTAGTAGGTTTGTTCACACCGCATCACCACAAATGCATGAGTAATGTGTTGCTCTGTGACTTTACACTGATGATAATGTCACTGGGTGATAGGTAGCTTTCAGCTCCACTATAATCTTATGGGACCATCATTGCATATGCAGTCTTTCTTTGACTGAAATGCCGTTGTGCAGTGCATGACTGTATTTTATAAGATGAGCCTAATTTGTGTTATACTTCTCGGGAATGAAGGCATACCCTGCAGTAGGTTTTGGATTCTGTGTTTGACAGATGTGGCTGCTTTTCTTTGCTTTCACTTTCCCCTAAAGGAAATAACAGTAGTAAGATGAAGAAAGAGGAAACTAGTAGTGAAAATTAAGCAGGTGAAATATTTATATAAGGCAGGACAGCTGTGGTCTAGACATTTACACAGAATTTTACTAGAGTAATTGCTTATCTCAGAATTCATTCAATATGCTAATTTCTCGTAGCAGATTGCCTGTCCGGCAATGCACATGGCATACAATTTTTGAAATTCTGCAGTGATGATGGAATAAGCATTTCTAACCCATTTCTCTGTTATAGCAATTGCCACATTGCCTGGTGTTTATACGTCTTTTCATCACTGCACTGAGTTACTATCAATTACTGGGTCTTTAGCTTTCTACTATATTTGGGATATAGAACAGAGTAAGTACTCAATACGTATTTTTGATGAATTAATGATAAAGAGAAAGAAATTCCATCAACAACGTATGTTATATTGTTTTTTCTCCAGAGGTAACTAACCTAACTTGATATATAGGCCACAACTTAACCTCAGTTGGCAGTGTTTTCCAGCTAGGTGACCAGAACTCTTTACTATCCATTATGATGATTTCTTGAAAGGGAGAAACTGACTAGGGTGGAGAATACTCCTTAGAAACAGAAGTTGGGTCCTAAGTAAATTGATGATTTAAAAATTATTTGGTGCAGGCCAAATATTCAGATAGGGAAAAGGAAAAAAGGAAACAAAAAGAGAAGGGATTTTAACGAGGTTGGTCATATCCTATACAAAATACAGTTTTAAACTCTTTAGCTTCCAGGAGCAGAAAACTGTAGGAAGTATGTAAATTATTCACGGTTACCTGGGAAACCCTTTCTGACAGGAACGGGGGAGATCACAGGGTTGGATGGAAATTCAAGCAGTCAAATTGTAATGTGTTTGTGTGTAAGTTTGCTTGTTTGTTTGCCACAGATGAGGAACAGGGAAAATTTCTGAAGGAAGGTAACATGAAAGGAAGAAAAAAGCTTGTCTGTACAGGGAAGGCAGAGAAACTTCAGGTCTCTTGAAGGTGTAATTTCCAAACCACTCTGTCCCTAGACCATCCTATTTGGAGTGACAGCAATAGTGGACCTCTGACCCGGGCTGTCAGAACCCCTTTCTAGAAGCAGCTTCTTCCCGCAAAGGCATGGTCAGTAAGGGAGCCTCCACGTTGGCAGAGTGGGACTCCACGCTTTGGCCCCGTGGACAGATCTGAAGATGGGCACCCAGCAAAGCTGGGCAGGCGAGGCCTCTTCTCTGTAATGTTTGGACAGAAAACCAAAGGGCGCTTGGATTACTCCTCCAGCGGCTGAAGCTGTGAGTACCTAGGAACCATCCCCGGCCACGTTTCCCATCAAGGGGAGAATGTGGTGAACAGAGATGAGAGATGGAGGGAAAGTGCTGGTGTGCCTGAGTCCCTGGTTCCCTGGTGTTCTGGCGCCCAGCCGCATGCTGCCCTTCCCACAGCCTGGTTATCCAGTCCTTCCTCAGATTCCCTAAGCCGGTGGTAACTCTCCTGTTGTTTAAGCTGGTTTGATGTGCACTGCCATCACCTGAGATCAAATGAGTTCTAAAACACATGCAATTGCAGACTTCAGGCACTGGCAGAGGACAAGAAGGAAGAGGTAAGAGGTTGAAGTGATCAGCTTCCCTCTGAGAGAACTCTGGAGCACCACAGGGTTGAGGCTGAGGTGACCATTTCAGTATGAACTGAAAATGGCTTTTTTCCTTATAGCTAGAACGGCTGAAAATCAGCACCATGTCAGGTTGTAACACATCTGTTCCAGGGATCACAGGATGTCCCATAAATGGGTTAAACACTTACCATGGGTGAGGCAGTTTGCCATCTGTGATATTTATGGTCTGAGATATAAAAATAACTTTTAAAAAATGAGTGCTTGTCCTCAAGAAGCTCACAGTCTGATAGGAGGTATCACATAGGTATATGTGATTCATTGTGAAAAAATGTCTTAAATTAGAAACGTGTCACCATGATTTCAAACAGGGGTAGCACCTTACTTTGCCTTATATACTCAAGAAATGTTTGCGGATTGTGGTTCAGCTGAATCTTGAAAAACAAATAGGAATTTGATATGGAAGGGGCCTAGAAATTTCAGGTAGAATGTATATGTCTGTCTTTGTACATGTTGCCCACGTATACAGACAGAAATGTAAGAGTGAAGTAGTGTGAGCAGCATAATAGGGAGGATGGGAGAGTTGGGAAAACGAGGCTGAGGAGATGAGGGGCTAGATCCTAAAGCCTGTATTCCCTTATAAAAATGTGGGCTTTCCTGGTAGAAAATGTGGAGAGTCATTAAATAATCCTACTATGTGCAGTTTTTAAATGATTACCTATCTTAACTTTGTTGGCCAAGGGTAAGGTTGGTGGTTGGAAAACAGGTCAAGGAAAAATTTAATAAATAGTCTGAGTGACAGGAGATGAGAGTCTGGGCTGAGTTAGTGCCGGGGGCCTTGTGGGGAGAAGCTGACAATATAAAAAAAAAGACAGGAGCTCAAATCTATGGGAAACGGGGCCAGTTCAAAGGAGAGATCGTGGGGATGAAGAAACCACATAACTCTCAGAGTCCTGACCTGTGCGGCCAAGAGTTTGGTGGTTGGAATGGAGATGAGGATTAAGTAGGGGCAGCAGTGCTTTGGTGGAGAAGATGATTTAGTGACTTTTGGACTTCCTGAGTTTGAGGCAGGACACAGGGGAATGTTACCCTAAGAGCTCAGCAGAGAGAGGCCAGGATTGGAACGTGTACTACTCTTGACCACTGGAGCTCCAGACATGACCCAAATGCCTGGTGAATGTCTAGAACAGGTGAAGAGCAAGGTGAGGAAAGGACCCGAGGGAACACCAAGGTTTAAAGGATGGTGGAGACAGTGAGTGAGGAACTAAGAAGGGAGACCCAAGAGATGGAAGTCAAAGAGCAGAGGCTGGGAATGAAAGCCATTGGAAGGTACAGTCTCTTGCAGGAGTGAGACTGTAGTGTCATCAGAAAACAAGCGCAGACCACATGGATTTGACAATGAGTAGTCTTCTAGTAGTCAGTTCAATGGTAGAAAAATACTTTGGATGATCATGTTTCTTTAAATATCCCACCCGTTGTGTCTTTACTTGTATTTATTCCACAAATGTTCATAACTAGAGAATACTTGATTTAATGGATTTATGCAAAGGGTTGGTGTCTCATGGAGCAAGCAAAACGTCCTGACTCTGGAAACCAGACCTGCCTCTTCATACTTATGTGTCTGGTAATAGGCATTTGAAATAATACTGCAGGGAAGTTTCACGTTGCTGTCATTTACCCGTTCTGATTTTCCTTCCTCGTATAGCTCACTTGAAGGGTGGGATAAGATGGCTGAAAGCGCTCCTGTCAGCCCTCTCTGAGAAGGGAGAATTACACAGACGTGATGATTGGCTATCAGAGTTCCCCAGCACTGGGGTGGCCCACTTAAGACAAGCCTCATTAAATTCACTTCATCAAGTAAAGCCGGTGTGTCTAACTTAAGAAAGAATGTGGCATGCAAATTAAGACCTGAAAATATGAATGGAGTCTGAGCGATGCTTTGATCAGCATTTCTTAATATGGCACATGGGGGAGAAAACTTCTTAAAGTTGCATTTACTTCCCCTCAGTTTTGTATGGCAGGGGAATCTGTTCACCTGCTACCTAGAATTGCCTCCTCCAAAGGAGAAACCCACTCCTTGGGAAGCAAAGTGCAATACAATACCAAGTATGCACAATTTGAAATTAGACTTGACCTCCACTCACCTCACAAACTAAAAACAGCCTCCCCAAAATAAGAGAAAGAAAGCTGGGAAAGGAAGGTGTGAGGAACATATTGCTGGGAAAACAGATAAGAGTTGATTATATTTAGAATTTTTTTCAACCCAGATTGAATCAATGAATACCTATGCATTGAACATCTTAGTTTTGGGATTCCTACTGCAGGAGAATCTATTTAAATATGAATCCCAAATAAATTTATATCATGTCTGATATAGGAATAAATCTGGCAATATTAAACAGATCAAATTCTCAAGACAACTAGTCTGAATGGAAGCTATTCTTAGCATAGTTTAAGTAAAGGAGATCAATATAGATATTCAAGATTGAAAAATCCTAATAGTTAATAGAAAAACAAAATTCAAGGTCCCTCTAACCTTCAAAGCCGAGCTGTTTCAAGTGCTTCTCAAGAAACAAATGTCTCTTAGAGAATGTAGCCAGGGCCCTCTAAGGCAGGTGTGCTCCTGCATCCTGTCTGTGTGGAGTCCTTCTTCCATGACTGGAATTGTCTGAGATCTTGGATACCACTCTGCCCCACAGGCAGCTTCACTCAGCCAGTGGCTGGACCAAGTGGAGGTCGGAAATTGAACCCTGTACCATGTGACCCGCTTTATGCATTTTACATACTGTAATTATACTGCTTGACTATTTTAAATAATATTTTTACTTAAGTTTCATGCTTCTTGCAATAAAAGGAGAATTTTTTTTCCTTCTCAAGCTATAATGTAAAAATGTCAGGGCAGTTATTATACTCATAGTTGCAAATTTGTTTAATTAAAATTACACTCAACTGTTCTGACACATTTTTAAGCAACTGTGAAAAATAGCTATTATGATCTGTTGGTATGCTTCCTTGAGTGGCTAATAATTTTGTTAGATCATGATTTAGTTCTTTTTCATCGGTAAATATGAAAATTAAAGTTAGATAAAACGAGCCATAATTTCAAACTTTGTATTTGTTTATCAGTTGGGCTTTTGAATTAAGTTTTAAAAATCACTTTTTCACCCTATGCCCCAATAAAAATTCAGAAACTGTATCTGTTAAAATGTCCCGTAGGTGTATTCTGTGGAAAAATAGATCCAAAAAATTCATAGCAGATTATAGGAGGAGAATCTCTTCACAGGCGAGACGTGCTCTACAGGCGTTTCAACTCTGAATCCGAGGTCTCAGATTCAAGGATATGCTACAAATCTATTTTAAGTTGTTCTCCATTCAGTTGCTGACACTCTAGAAGGGCCATTCCAAACTTTTTGTGGTGAGATGGGAAGAGTGTTCTTTTTTCTTTTTTTTTAAATGAGATGAAATTCACATGACATAAAGTTAGCCATTTTGAAGCGGGCAATTCAGTGATACTTAATGTAACGACCACCGCTATCTAGTTACAAAATATTTCCATTACCCAGAGGAAGCCGCATACCCATTTAGCCCACCCACTCTTCCTTCCTTCCCTTCTTCCTTTCCCTTCCTCCTTCCCCCTTCCCCCTTCCCGCTTCTTCCTTCCTTCCTTTCCTCCCTCCCTCCCTCCCTTCTTCCTTCCTTCCTTCCTTCCTCCCCTTTCTTACCATCCTAATGAGTGTGAAGTGGTGTCTCATCGTGGTTTCAATTTGCATTTCCCTGATGACTAAATGATGTTGAACATCTTTTAATGTGCTTTTTGGCCATTTATGTACTGCTTTGGAGAAACATCTGTTTAAGTCCTTTGCCCACTTTTCAATTGAGTTCTCTCTTTTTTGTTCAGCTGTAAGAGTTCTTAATATATTCTCAACACTAGACCCTTATCACTCTAAACTTTTCATTGCCTCCTAACCTCTCGAAAGTGAAGAATTCTTTCCTTCCTTCCATCCTTCCTTCCCTCCCTCATTTTTTCCTTCCTTCCATCTTTTCTTATTTTTTCTTTCCTTTCTTTGCTTCTTACACACTGAGAGTATTGGATTTTTGTTATTAGAAGTAATGGGTTTTTATTTTAGCAAAGAAAGATATAAGGAGTAAAATTTAAATTCCCCATCATCCTACCATCCAGAGAGTTTGTTTTGTTTTAGAGACAAGATCTCACTATGTTGCCCAGGCTGAACTTGAACTCCTGAACTCAAGGGATTCTCCTACCTCAACCTCCTGAGTAACAAGGACTACAGGTACATGCCACCATCCCTGGCTTTTTTTTTTTTTTTTTTTTTTTTTTTTTTTGTGACAGAGTCTCGCTCTGTTGCCCAGGCTGGAGTGCAGTGGTGCGATCTCAGCTCACTGCAACCTCCGCTTCCTGGGTTCAAGTGATTATCGTGCCTCAGCCTCCCAAGTAGCTGGGATTACAAACATGCGCCACCACACCCAGCTAATTTTTGTATTTTTAGTAGAGATGGGGTTTCACCATGTGGGCCAGGCTGGTCTTGAACTCAGGTGATGCACCCACTTCAGCATCCCAAAGTGCTGGGATTACAGGCGTGAGCCACCACGCCCGGCACCTGGCTTACCAGAGATAAGTTTTATATCCTTTTTCTAGTCTTTTTAAAAAATGTATAGGATAAACTTGCATACGTATATACTAAGAAAATTCTGCCATTGTCATATACTATTTTAATATTTTAACCCTTTTTTACATGGCAAAATTATAGCTATTTGCATCTATTTATCAGAGCATTTGTTATGACTGGTGAAACAAAATATTTTCCTATATTTGTTAATCATTTGTATTCCTCTCTTAATTGTTCAAGTCTTTTTTTGCCCACTTTTTCTGTTGGCATTTTACAAACAGTAAAAATCTCTTATCAATGATTAGCTAATTATATACCCAAAATACTAGTCCATTTTATCTCATATTTGTTACAAATTTTTCAAGTTGTTATCTGCCTTTTATTATCCTTCATCATATGTGGGGCATAAATTTATTTTATATTTTTTGTTTTGTCATATCCAACATTTTTTTCATCAATTTTTGTCCATTGCTTTTACATGCAAGAAGTTCTTATCCATCAAAAGATTATATAAATATTTACTTACATTTTCTCTTAAGTTGTTTATTATTAAACATTTTTTTCTAGTTCCATCTGGAATTGTTATTAAGATATTGTGAGATGAGAGAATCAAACTTTTATTTTTCTAAACAGTTAACCAGCTTTCCTGATACAATTTATAGGACAGATAATTTACAATAAGTGAATCTTTTACAAAAGATACAAAACCAATTATTTTGCTCAATTTTTTTATTTTTATTTTTGAGACAGAGTCTCGCTCTGTCACCCAGGCTGGAGGGCAGTGGTATGATCACAGTTCACTGCAGCCTTGACCTTCCGGGCTCAAGCAAGCCTCCTGTGTCAACCTCCTGAATAGCTGGGACCACAGGTGTATACCACCATGCCCAGCTAATTTTTGTTTTTTGGTTTTTTTGTAGAGATGAGGTCTTGCTGTGTTGCCCAGGCTTGAGAGCCCAGGCTGGGCTCGAACTCCTGGGCTCAAGCTATCCTCCCACCTTCACCTCCCAAAGGCATGAGCCACAATGCCAGGCCTTGCTCAATTTTTAAAATAGTACTTTAGGTACCAGCTGTATATGAAGCAATTCATTTGTGGTTTGTTTTGCTTGTGCTCCTATTCTTAGCAAAAGATAGCCTTACTCTCATTTCAGAGCAGAGTAGCCCACGTGGCAATCCCCTAGTCCCTTTTTTGGAGGCCACAGTGTAGCCAGAAGTAACTGGAATGCAAAGCCTCTGTGTGCCCTTCGACCCAGCTAAATCATTCCACGGGCAGATTGATCAATTTCCTGAGCTTTCATCATGATTTCTGGAGTTCAGTTGTCTTGCAGTTGCTATACAATGTAGTTTTTGTCATATTCCCTCTTATTTCTTAATGTGTCCTGGAAGGAATGGAATATGAAGTCTTTGTAGAGTAGTGGCTACAGCACTGGCTTTAGAGGCCGCCCTGAGTGCAAGTCTTGGCTTTGCCACTTGTTGGCCGTGGAACCATTCGAGCAAGTTACTCACCTCTCTAAGCGTCAATTTCTTATCTTTGGGTTTAACAGTGAACCGACCTTAGAAGGTTATTTTGCACTGCCTGGTGCATAACAAGTGTCCAGTAAGTGTTATTGTTGATGGTGCTGGTTACATCCTAATGGTGAGTTTCCTCTGGGAAAAACTAATTGTAATTAAGTACAAGCATTAAATACAAACAAAGAACAGCCAAGTTTCTAATGAGCAAACTTTGTGTTTTATGTTTACTCTAGTTAAGCCCATGCTCAAAATAGGCACCTAGTTGCTGATGATAATTTACTCCAAACAATAAAATTACTTTCTTAAGGTCTAATTGTTTTTGATAGAAAAAAGAGGAAAAAATAATAAAGCAGGTTGAAGATGTCACAAGCTGGGAATAAAAGTTTGGTGGGTTTTTAAGATCTGAAAAAGAAATTTTTTTAACACCTTAAGGAAAAAAGTTGCAATATACTTTTGTTTCTTTTTTTATGCACAGTAAGTGTTATAGGATGCAGGTGACACATGTGCTGGTGGGGAAGTGAGGTAGAGGAAATGAGAAGGACGCCCCATGTAGAAAATGGCAGAATCGGAACACGCACCCAGCCCCTCTGTGTGCAGGGTGGCGTTGGATGAGACGTGCAGCCTGGCCAGGCCTCATGTCGTTGTTTCCCCAGGTTTTGATTTAGGCCCGAAGCCCACCCCATGGAGTCTACATGGCAAAGGGAGCCTGCAGAAGGCATGTGACATTTTGTATTTGCATTTGGAATTCAGTGAGCTGCTGATTTGATGATGGAAGCAAATACCAAGCAGTCACTGTCAGTGTTCATGAAATAAGAGATGTCAGCCATATTTCTAGGATATGACACTTTTGTATTATCTATTGGTATTTCAAAAAAAATGTTATGGTAAAAAAAATTTCCAAAACACATAAGCTACTAGACATCTGTTTTAGAATAGCACCGCTATACTCATTCACAAACAGCAGTTGTGTTTCTTGTGGGAGTGGCGCTTTAAAGAAGTGTAATAGGGTTTTGTTTTTTTTTTAATCAGCATTTCTCTTTGGAGATGTTAATGAGCATCCCCAAATTTAAAGTTCTAAATGAAATTATAACACTGGTTATTGCTAACAAAATGAGCAACTCTTCTAAGGAAGACTAAAAGGAAAAATCGCTGTGAAGTTCCCTCTATGTGATAGCAGGGTTGAGAAAATTTGATTACAGAACCTGAGCTTCTGCAGCGAAGGCCTGACAGTGTACGGTCGCTGTCTGGGGTGTCCACCCAGCTCCCGGTGATTCCCCCTTTGCTAGCAACTGCTTCTCCCTCCCAATCCAGAACTGTGGGCCCTGGCAGCCATTTTGTGCAGTGAGGCATCCTTTTACCCTGCAGTCTCTGCTGATTGGACCCGGACAGATGCTTGACCCACGAAGGAATTTACAATTGGCAATGATAGAGGTAGTCTTTCATTCCACAGTCACTTTCCACATTGTCTGTTTGCCTTGAGCAGCAGCAAGGCAAAGAATGGCAGTCTGCAGAGAGCAGAAGCAAGTTTCCCTTCAGAGGGAGGCAGAGAAGGGAGATGAGAGAGTCCAGAGGACATTGAAGTCCCCATTTCTGTGCCTCGCCTTCGTCTGCTGGCTTCTGAAACAAGTTCCCCACCTGGTCAAGCCACCAGGAGTAGCTTTCCACTACTTGCCCCGAGGAGTTCAGCAGAGGCACCCTGGGAGCACAGAGGTGTCCTGTTTCTGTCCCTTGAGAGCCTCTTCATTAGCCTAAGTGTCCACCTCGATCATTGAGTTACTCTCCCTGAGCCACTACGTTGACAGAAGCAGCTGGTGCGGCAAAGGGACCTCAGGTAGTGAGCACAGCGTGCCCCAGGGCCTCACAGGGAGAAACGCCACTGCAGGCACCAGATGGCAAGAAGTCCATAGAACATTCCGAGAAGAAGCAAAGCTCTTTGTTTTCCATAAACACTCTCAGTTGAAGGGGGCTTTAGGCAAGAGCATAGGAAGAAACCAGGATCCAGAGCCGAATAGATGCATACAGCCCTCCCGGCCTCAGTGGCGTGAGAGGCTCCTGACTTGCAGAGAAGAGAACCCAGAGCTGACAGGGAGCGTTCCAATTGCCAAGTCAGACGAGGCTCTCCAACCATTCCTGGTGAGGAGGCCTTAGATACCAAGAGCTTCATCTTCCACATATCACAACTAGGTAGTTGTATCTGATGGCATCTGGATTAACTGGGTAAAAATAAAAGCAAATCTTTCTTGAGGACAAGGATCACAGGCTCTAGCACCATGCCAAGGCTTTTGCACGCCTGGGCATCACTACGCCTTCACCACACCCATGACCCGTGCAGCGTTCCTGGCTGCCTTTCCTTTATGAGGCCACAGGTAAAGCAGCTCGCCCAGGGAGCCACAGCCTGTAAGTGACAGAGACAGCATCGCCCTCAGCAGTCAAAATCCAGGACCATATTCTTACCAAATTTCTATGTTGCTTCCAGCGTATTGATTTAATCACTTGTGAGCCTCTTCTTTTCATAAAAACCCAACTTGAAGACTTATGTATGAATTTGCTAGGGCTGCATAATAAACACCACAGACTGACTTAAACAGCAGAAATTTATTTCCTTACAGTCCTGGAGGCTGGAAGTCCAAGATCAAGGTGTGGGCAGAGTTAATTTCTCCTGAGGCCTCTCTTGTTGGCTGGTAGATGGTGTCTTCTCCCTGTATCCTCACATGATCCCCGCTCCGTATGTGTCTGTGTCCTCCACTTCTTATCAGGACACAAATCAGATTGGATTAGGCCACCCTAATGACCTCTTATCTCTTTAGATACCCTATCTGTCTCTCAATACAGCCACATTTGAGATACTGGCAGTTAGGACTGCAACATACGAATTTTGGGAGGACACAGTTCAACCCATAACAGATGCCTCCAGGGATTTTTATGGATAGCCATAAATTTCAGTCCATCTGACGTCCAAGGTGGGTGATGAAAGCCAGGAGAGCCCTTTTGGAACAGCGACTTCTGCCTGGGGATGCTGTGCCTTATACTGCAAGATGGTGCTGTCCAGTCACTCTCTGATCCTATATTCTAATACAGTACTTTTAAACAATGATATGCTTGGCTCTGCTAAGTTACAATGAAAAGAGCTACTACAGGTACTGGAGGCTTGCAGAGAGAATATACAAGCTGTTAGGGGAGACTTAAAACCATCCCGGGCCGGGCGCAGTGGCTCACGCCTGTCATCCCAGCACTTTGGGAGGCCGAGGCGGGTGGATCACCTGAGGTCAGGAGTTCCAGACCAATGTGGCCACCTTGGTGAAACCCCATCTCTACTAAAAATACAAAAATTAGCCGGATGTGGTGGCACGTGCCTGTAGTCCCAGCTACTTGGGAAGCTGAGGCAGGAGAATCGCTTGAACCCGGGAGGCAGAGGCTGCAGTGAGCCAAGATCGTGCCACTGCACTCCAGCCTGCCTGACAGAGCGAGACTCTGTCTCAAAAAACAAAAAAGAAAAAACAAAAACCATCCCAGTCTTCTCAGAGCAGGCCTCACTGAAAACTGAGGACTCTCAGGAGAGGCTGCCTTGCTAGCATTCCAGGAAGCCTGTTCCCATCCCCCCGGCTGTGGCTCAACCGCTGTGGGGTCTGGGCACTTGACGGGGCCTCCCTCAGTGGACCCTGCTGCTCCTGACGACTGTCTGTGGCATGTTCAGTTTCCTCGCGCGAGAGAATCTGATTGGTCCATAGAGCCACCACCAGGATAGGGGCCTCCACTGGGCAGAGCTCAGGCCACTCACAGCTGAATGCCTGGCACCCAGCCCTGGTGATGAGGTCCAAGCACAGACTTGTACAGGGGCCTTGGAGGTGGCAGGCACTCTAAAGCTGCTCATAGCAGCACTCATAACTGACTAGCAACTTGTATAGCCTGTCAACTACAAGATGAAGTCTCTGTCTTAAAGATATTTCTCTAAAATGCATGTACGGTGAAATTGATTGATGTAGTAGAAAGAGACCTGTGTTCTGACCCCAGCTTCTCTCTCATCTGGACAAGTTACTTAGCCTCTCTGAGCCACTGATGTAATAACCCTACCTTAAAAGCAGTATTATAAGTCTAAAATGAGTTGAAGTGCTTAAACGTACATCCACATATTTCAAAGCAAGGTACTGGATTTTTCATTTTGACATGTGTTTCTTCAGCCTTTCGGTGGCCAGCATATTCCCAGTGCCAGGGCCCAGTCTCTCTGCCTTTGCATTTCAAGTCCCATCATGGGAGTTACCACTTAACCAGAAGCCATATTGTTCTCAGTGATTATTTGAAATTTGCATATGAAATGTTACCATGTTTACACCCTGTACTTAAAAGAACTCCTAAAGATAGGCACTCATCTGGGAATCATGACAGATATCTTCAGGATACCTTTGGGGATTTTCAAGAATGAGAAGTAGATTTCTCTTGCTTAAGTAGAGGGGTGTGTTTCCATGGGGTCCTTTGCATAAATGCCCTATGGGAAACTCTGGTGCCTGGGAAAGGCCATATTCTGTTGTAAACTGGGGAATCAGACCTACCTTCCTCTCTTCTTCTATCCACATTTGTTCTTTATTTGCAAATGAGTCAGCTAAGAACAGTGCCAAGCGAGGCTCTTGAGTGTAAGCGCTTGAAAAGTGTCCTATTGTACTTACAACACTTCGTTGATGACCAGTGGCTGCTTACCACTGAAGATGGGGTCAGTGCCTCTGTGCTGGGGTCCCTGTTGCTGCCTGTCACATCCTGGGCATTGGCTGGAACCCAGAGGTCTTTGAAGAGTGACCTGCTTTATTCCACTCACTTCAGAGCATTAGTGCCCCAAGTGGGTCCCCTGCTTTTCCTCAGTGGTCTCTTTAGTAAATTCTCAGCTCATCTGGTGGGTTTCGGAAAAACGTTTTTTTAACATCGGGATCCATTTTGCCATATCTGTTCCGTTATTGCACTGAGCTTGTAAAAGTTGTATTCCCAAGATAATGTTTAACTTTTGGGGGAGTGTGTGTGTTTCAAGTCCCTTTTTCCTTTAATCATTTGAGGGAACTTTTGTCAGGTGTGTGTGTGTGTGTGTGTGTGTGTACCTGAGAAAACGCGCACACATGCCTGGATGCACACGTGTACACACGTACTTGCACATGCCATTGAGTGCCCATTCTGTATGAGGTCCCGTATTATGTACTGGTACTGTGGGAGGACCAAGGCTCAGAGCGTCTGACTTACGGGTTTAAGGTCTCACGGCCATTAAGCAGTCATGGCAGGATTAAAGGAGATGCAGCAGATCTGAATTGGCTTCATATCACGGCAAACACGGAAGCTAAATCTGCGAGTTGGCCACTCCCAGCCCGAGCTTCCCCCGAGTTGGAGCACCTAAATGTTACTCCTTCTAGGTCCCTATAACAGACTGGAGGCCTGGTTTGCTCACATAGTTACTGAGGAAGAAAAAGAAACATTTTGTCTGAGGAACGTGAGCTACCTCTAAATTATCAGGCCCAGAGAGGCATGGGATTGAGGCAGCGGCCACATCCCACTGCCCTTTTGAGCTAATTAATCATCTCTCGAAGCCGCCTGCTATGCGGCCTCTAGGCCGACTTGTCACAAGTAGCCACAAATTAACCTAACAATACTGCACACCAGACACCTGACCCATACCACATAGTTCAACTGCATATAGCCAATCACTAATCAATGCTATTTCTGTAAACTAATGAGAATTCCTGACAAACACCTTTCTGACACCCCACTCCTTGTCCCTTTTCTTGGCTTTTAAATCCTGCTTGTAACAAGGGTCAAATGGAATTCATATCCAAGGTTACTTGTGTCTGAGTCTTCTAAGAAGCTCTTATCTTGGCCCTAATCAACTCCCCTCTTATTGATTTTGCCTCAGTTTCTCCCTTTAGGTTGACATGGCTATGCTAATGGCAAAGCTTTCCTGACAAAGCCTCCCAGTGCAGGCTGGAGAGGAGGCCAGCTTGTCATCCTCTGGGGAAGAGGAGTACTGTGAGAATAGCAAACAGTTGTTCTGCAACATTGTCTTTATTTTCAGAACACCCTTCACTTCCCTGGGTGTGTTTCTTGCTCACAGTGGTATGCCATCACAGGGCCACTGAGAGGCAAGGGCACCAACTGATTCAGTTCACCAGGCATTTCTGGTGAACCTGCACTCTGTAAACTGCACTATCCGTTTCACGTGTCCCCAGTTTATTTTATTTTATTTTATTTTATTTTTTTGAGACATAGTCTTACTCTTTCACCGAGGCTGGAGTGCAGTGGCATGATCTTGGCTCACTGCAACCTCCACCCCCTGGGTTCAAGTGATTCTTCTGCCTCAGCCGCCCATGTAGCTGGGATTACAGGTGCCCACCACCACGCCCAGCTAATGTTTGTATTTTTAGTAGAGACAGGGTTTTGCCATGTTGGCCAGGCTGGTCTCAAACCCCTGACCTCAGGGGATCTGCCCACCTCGCCTTCACAAAGTGCTAGGATTACAGGCGTGAGCCATTGTGCCCAGCCTCACATGTCCACAGTTCTAAGGAAAGCACCTAGGCTGCATTCACTGGATGCCAAGGGCAGGTAATGAAACTCAGGATTGATGTCAGCCCTTTGAGCTAATATAGAAGATGTTTGCATACCCCAAATTGTTATTGATAAGTTACCATACATACCAAGAGCAGGATATCAAAGATAACCATGTATCAAAGATCTCATACACCGAGGCCTCTGGGCAAACACCTCTAAGATGCTTCTCAAGGCTACTTCTTTAGAAAAGCTTTCATGATGCCCCTGTTCTCCACGGTCATCATCCTTGGTGGTCACCGTACCTACATGTAGGTCCATCGGAAAGCTGCTGTTTGACACTTACTGACTTTATGTCCCTCTCACTAGACTGTTAACTCCTTGAGGGTAGGAAATCTGTTGATGTTATCCTTGGTACTTACCATAATGCTTGCACAATTAGAATATTCACTGAATGAATAAGATCTCCTTAGCCAAGGACTCACACTAATACTACATAGGTGCATACATACATATATGTATGTGTATATTTGTGTGTGTCTGTATGTGTGTGTGTATGTCTGTATGTGTGTATTATAACACATGCATATGTGTATATGTATCTGCATACACAATACATATTTTAGACGCATGTAGCTTATCATTTTGGGAGGAATAGGTTTATTTCTCTAGGGCACTATAAAGGTAGAGTGATAGACTTAAGCTTGAGCTACATTGATCCAGGACAATCCATGGGAAGTGCTCTTCTGAGCACTGTAAATCCCCAATAGGACTTTTTTGTTAAGTTTCTTGTCTAAGCTTTCTGATTGCTTGGATTAAGGACTAATGATACCTTATGCCAAGGTAAAAATGTTACTAAAAAAAAATTGTAATTTTAAAACCTTTTGGAATGTCTTGAGTTATTCTTTCTCCATCTAAAGCAGTCATTGAGACTTGACATCAGAGCATGCCCTGTCTTCCCTCTTGCATATGGAATCTAACCCAGCATCTCAGGAAGAAGAATGGAAGATGATTTTTTAAATGTCAAAAAAAAAAATTGAACTTCCTCCTGTGCTTTTCACCTCAGCTTCTGCTGCAGACCTTAGATGCCTGCTTTCCAGTATTCGATAAGAGAATGATGTATACAGCTGTAAACAACTTCAAAGAAGGACACACTTGAAATGCCTTGTGTGCTGTAGTTGCTCGTTATTTTGAGTTCAGTCCACTCTTAGGGCAGGCACAGAAAGACAGGACCTGTAAGTAAACTCGCTGGATTCATCAAATCTCCACAGACCATTTGATGTCTTCGAAGAGCCCACTGGATCCTGATACCCCAGTCCCCTGCAGCCTTGAAGCGTGTTCACGCTGGCTGTGGTTGGGTCTGGCCCTGCAATGCAGGACATCTGGACGTGAACACAGCCTCTTCCCAGAGAGATGAGCTTAAAGAGAACGACATTATGGGTTCAGAGCATGAGTTTCAGGAAAAAGCTTGATTAGTAATTTATTTTAAAGAAATATTTACTTACGATTACTTAAAGAAATAAATAGCTTCATTCTAAAAAAATTCCTGTCTCCCTTAGGATCTGTCTTCACACGCACAAATTTTCTTTCAGGAGGAGGGAGCAAATGTACGTGGGTGAGGCAAAGAACTGAAATAATAATCCACCTTTGATCAAAACTCCTTGTTATAGTGTTCCCTGTGAAAACGATTTCTAATCAATGAGCGCTGCCACAGCACACTGAGGAGTAATTACCTTACACGTGCTTCACTCTGAGCTGTGATTAGAAACAAGATGTGGGCTCAGAAGGGCAGACGACGAATATAAGGAGAAAAACCTCAGATAGGAGCCAAAACGTGCAGGCTGTGAGATACTGAATAAGCATGGAGGTCTGCTCCAGGGAGTGATGCCGACATTCGTTCATTCACTCGGTAAACATTTCCTCACTGTGTTGGGCATCAGTGGTGGTATTAGCAGCCACGTTAAGGTAACTTATCACATGCTACCCTTATATACAAAGATAAGGCAACTGGCTGGCTCTCACTGAAGTATGAGGTTGACTTCAGAGGTGCTCTGTACTGGAGGGGGGTTTGGGTTGCTAAGACTACACCTTCTGACCAGACTTCCCAGTGGTTTGGAGCCAATTTCCAAGGGTAAACTGCTTGATCCACAGTCTACCAGCCTGAGCATTCATTGTACCTGGGCTTCATGAGACACTAGGGCCTGGAAAAGGGAAAGAAAGACTTGGAATAATTCTACCTAGAAGAAAAACTCGAGGAGGGGCTAGGGTCAAGTGTGTGGCAGACTTATTGAGAAGGTGAAGGCCATTTGGTCTCTGTAGAGAAGCTAGAAGAGGCTTTTGGCCTGACAGTGCTTGCTGGGGCATTTACTGTACCCACGAGAAAGAGTTTCCAAACTCTGATAAATGTTGGATGCAGATGTAATGAACACTCTTGCCCACTGAGAAACAGACATGCTTGTTGTGATGGCCCTGCGCTTCTGGGGGTGTCTTCATTTGTCATTAAGACAGCAGATACTGCCACAGCACCATCACCACCTAGCCATAGCGCAGCCATCCTTGGCAGTTTCCTTCCCTTCTTGGAGAGGTGCCAGTCATGTTTGTTGTTTCTTTTTTCTTTTGCTTTTTTTTTCTTTTTTTGAGACAGGGTCTCACTCTGTCACCCAGGCTGGGTGCTGCAGTCACAGCTCACTGCAGCTCAAGCTCCCTGGGCTCAAGTCATCCTCCCATGTCAGCCTCCCAAGTAGCTGAGACTACAGGTGCGCACCACCACGCCTGGCTATTTTTTCTTTTGCATTTTGTAGTAATGGAGTTTCACCATGTTGCTCAGACTGGTCTTGAACTGAGCTCAAGCAATCTGCCCACCTTGGCCTCCCAAAGTGCTGGGATTACAAGAGTCAGCCACCGTGCCTGGCCTGTTGTTTCCTTTTAACCCTTGTTTTCAGACAGCTGCAAGAATGCCAGCAGATCTACTCTCATGACCTTAAAAACATACTCAGCATCTTTAGCCCACCTTGGCCACCCAAAGTGCTGGATTACAGGCGTGAGTCACCTCGAAAACATTCTTGTTAGGTGATGTGCCCCAGAGGAAAGCTTGGACATTCTGAAGTTTGACCTACCTGTTCTAAACTATCATTGGCTGCTTACTTATTGTGCCATGTTCCTAAGGCTCAGCCTGCATTCCTACCCCTAGTAGGTAATGATCCAGTTTTTAAAATTCTTACCCTCTCCAAAAGGATTGAGAGAAACTAGAATGAGTGGCAGGCTTATTAGAGCAGTTGTTCTCTGGATACGTTTACAAATGGGAATAGCTGCACACTCAGGATCATTGAAGACTCACCTAAACATAACCTAGAAAAGAGACTGAACAAACTCTCAGAGCCGACTCAGCACTTATGATTCTGAAGAAGTGATATGCAGGCACAGAATAGTACCTTATTAAACATCTTTGTGTGAAAGGCCAGCTAACCAACTTGGATGAGAATATTCTCCCCACCTTCAAGGGTGCTTAAGTTTTTATTGGGTTACTTCTGCAAAGCTTCTACCCATCAGTAAATATTAGCCACCTTGGAAACAGTACACAGAATGACAGTCATTCTCCCTCTGGTGTAAAATTAGGCACTGGACAAGAGTGCATTTACCTGCTTGCAGGCAGAATTAAAACAGCCAGAATGTGCTTTAAGTGTCTAAGGAAAAATTTGGCCAAGGCTCTGGGCCAGTGCGTCTGTTGTTATTTTAGATTTATTCAATTAGAGTCACAAGCAAAGTAAATTGAGCTGTGTGGTTGATTTGAATATTACCTTGGAAGACAGTGTAAAGAGATTAACAAACCCTAAGGGATGAGGGACGAGTGCCAAGCTCCTCCTCTGTCCCCACACACAGTCGGGCCAGGTTTCACAGATTCATTTAGGAATGACGAAAATGCATGCAGAAGAGCAGATGTGCCTTTTGTTCAGGGCCACGTAGCCATTTTCCCGCTTCTCCATCCTCTGAAACTTCCTCTGTGTGCATGAACTGCTGCAAAAATGAAGCTGGTGCATGTGGAGGCTGTCAGATTTAAGAAGGTGGCCTGCCCTGAGAACTGGGGGAGCTTGGGTCCAGTCGAATCCTGCTTTTGTCTTGGCAAATGTATTGTCTGGCACAGCCGGCTGCATTCAGTTGACGTGGTGCTTTGACAGATTGGCATGGGTGAAATATTAAAAGTAATTGCACGGGCCTCATATGTTTTCAGAGGCTATAGGATAAATAAGCCATGCATTTCAACAAAGAACCTTTTCAGTGTTACCATTTTTAGTGCCATGTGGCAATTGGTTGTCTCACACTCCCTTCAAAGAGTGAGGCATTTTTACATGTTTTTTACTTAGTTTAACGGAGGTAGGGACTAGAATGATGCCAGGAAGCCATCCTGTTTTTAGGACTGAAGGGGCATTTTTCTGTGTAAGTCTCGTATGGTTTGGTGGAGTGAGATAAGGATGAGTTTTCTTAGAATAAGAAGCTAGAACTGACATGACAGAGAGGGAGCAGCAGGGAGATAAGAGAGGGAGCAGCAGGGAGATACAGGGTAAAAATGGTGAGATTTGCTTGAGGTCACCGTGTGTCCTTAATTAAGACTTTAATGACATTGTTACTCCCATGGCCTCTCACTGTTTTCCGAGTATATCTAATGCTGCTCTAATATCCAGGCTATAATATTGCAGTGAGAATTAGATTAGAGAAGATTATATGCAGGCTGTAGTGGTTCTGACGAACGAGCTGTGGTGTGACCTTCGACAGGTCACTCAGCTTCTGTGAACCTGCTTCCTACCTGTGCAGTGAGGGCAGTGGGCTCACACAGTCTCATGGTCCACTCCAGCATTGCCGGTCTGTGGTCTATGCGTGATGGCCTTGGATTTCACGGCTCCTCTACTCTTGAAAAGAGGAGGGGTTTTTAAAAGAATGCCTAGTAGGGTGTGGATTATGAATCTGTTCGCTATAACTACAGTTGGACTTTGGTATCCATAGGGGATTGGTTTCAGGACCCCCAGCAGATACCAAAATCCAGGGATGCTCAAGTCCCTGATATAAAATGGCATAGTATTTGCATATAACCTACACATATCCTCCTGTATACTTTAAGTCATCTCGGGATTATTTATAATACCTAATACAATGTAAATTCTATGTAAATAGTTATTATACTGTATTGTTTAGGGAATAATGTCAAGAAAAAGTCTGTACATGTTTAGTATGGACCAAACCATCTTTTTCTTTTTTCAAATATTTTTGATCCACAGTTGGTTGAATCCATGGATATGGAACCCATGGATATGGAGGACCAACTATATTTTGCTTTTCCTAGCTCCTTGTAAAGATTTTCATCAGAGAATATCTAGTAAGGTGAGATGAACCCCCTCCATGTCCCCTTTGCTTATTATCAGCTGTGACAAGCTCCTAGTTGAAGGCATAGGAGCAGGAGAATGAAAACAATGGCCCAAATGTATTTTTGGTTTTGTTTTTTGTTGTGTTCCTCACCAACGGTAAAGGTAGAATTGTCTGCTATTGCTTACTACTCTTTTGTCAGGGAGGGTCTTCACCTTCATCCCATCTCAAGTAGTGAGTCTGATTCTAGGCCTATCTGCCTTTTCCTGCTTCCTTCCACCTTCCCGCCTCTCTTCCTGGGGGAACCAATGTCTTCTTCATCTCTGTTCCCTTAGTGTAGTTTGGCACATACCAGATAATCAGAATATGTTTGTTGACTGCATTGGTCCAAAGATTAGGGCTGAGAAGGTGAGAAGGAAGACATGGAACTAAAACTAGAATTTAACATAATCAGCCATGTCCTCAAAATAAAATGGAAACTAACACGAGCTAGGAAAGGTAGAGCATGTTCACTTTTACCAGCCTGGGCCTGGAAGGCACATTTCCTGCCTAAATATTGATTAGAGTTATCTAAAAAGTTTTGACAACTGATTGATCACTTAGGATTTCTGTATCAAAATGGAAGATAGATGACTTATTCTGTCAAACTCACCCAAATCACTGCCTTCTTCATTCAGAGGTAAGAGAAGCTTGTGTTTTATATGTCAAGCACCACACCTTGAAATCAACAGAGCAAAACAGGTTCAAAATAAAACGTGGTGATGGGGAAAGGACTAACAAAGACAGGTTAAATGCAAACACATGCTTTAACTTGCACAGAATCATCAGTGCATGATACCACATACCCAGTGACCCAAACCGCTTTCTAAATCCTCCTCCTTTTTTCATCTCCTGTAATTAGCACGTAACCCAATGGTTAAGGGTATGGAATCTGGAGCCACATCACCGTGGTTTGAATCACAGCTCGGTATTCACTCACCATTATTTTCATTTCTCTGTCCTTCACTTTCCTGATCTGTAGAATGGAAGTAATAATATTTTCTACTGCATTCAGGTTCTTGTGAGAATTAAATAAATTAATATACATGAAGTGCCAGGCACACTGCCTTCTGGACTCAATGACAGTTAAGTTTCTCACTGTAAATCAATATACTTTTGTTTGGTTTGTGCATAGTCCACAAGACCTAAGATAATTCCGGAGAATTTCCCTTCAGTGAAGTCACCTACTCCAAATGGGAGTACATTCCTCAAGTTAAACACAGTAGCCTCATGTCCTTTAGCAGCCAGCCGGCCTCCTTTGCCCATTTGCCAACATCAGCACCTTTTCAAACTTCAGAAACAGGGCTGGCGTCTTACGTGGAGCCCTCAGTCTCTGCTGTCACTTACTGGCAAGAATACAGGGTCCCCCCAGATCTCCATGTCGTCTGTGACCCCATCAACTCCCCTTGGTCAGCTTGTTTCTCTCCCTACCTGGGATGCTGCATGTCAGGGTTCTCTGCATCCTGAGTGGGACCCAAAGGGGGCCTCCCTCTCCCTGCACTGGGGATCCATTCCCTGTAGGGTGAAGGGAGGAAACCAGGGTGTTTGGACCCAGGGTCTCTAGGTGAGGGTCCTTCCTGGGTTCCTATTTCATGAGCCTCAGAGCTCCTTCACTTCCTTCTGATGCTTTCTTTTTTTCCCCTTTATTCTCTCCTCTTTTCTTTCTCTCTTTCCATCTACCCTTCATAGGATTCAAATCCAAAGGCTAGATTTTTGGGTTACCCAACTCTCTTTATTTGAAGTATGTAATTCAATTCCACTACTATTTTTATAGTAATTTTTAGTTATATAAAAATATTACGTATTAGCACATTTGGTGCCCCTCTCCCCTCACTGGCAAACACCTTTTGTGGGAAGAAGGATTTTGTCTCCATTGTGCATGCTCCATCCCCAGGGCCCAGACAATGCCTGGCACTTAGTAGGCGCTCAGTAAATAGTTGTTGAATGAATGAATACAGTATAAAACAACATTGTCCTGTAATTTATAATGTCTGTGGGTCAATAGTTAAGGTTGGGATTTAGGAGCTCCTCATTATTCTATTTTGACAGACTTACTACAAAATGTCTTTTCAAAGTCACCAAAGCTCACCATGCTGCAATTTGTTAGAGGGTTAATTTTTAAAATTATAATGGTGCTTGGTAAATCTCCTTGAATTAATGAGTCTTGCAGAATTATGGCTGATGTGAAAAGGTATATAGTTAGCATCTGTTTGTTCTGTGCATATATCTCTCTTCCATGCTGTACATATATTTTAAGGAACATTTCTTTGGGTGCTGTGTTTTTTTCTATTTATGTCTTCACCATAAAAATATAAATAGATCATTTATCTCCGGTATCCTTAAAGTAGCTTGCATCACTTCACTCTTTTAAACTTTTACATAACCAAAGTTTCTGTCCCCAGTACACATTGTTTGGAAGATTTGAGTGGTTGGGGGCAACCCTGGAACCCTGAGGCAAGCTTCTGGTGACCCTTGAGGTTTACATGCAGGGCCAGGAGCTGAGGGTGCAGGCTGCTGGGGGCTTCATTCCCAGGAACACCGTGAAGGATACTGTGGTGTTCGCCCTACCTGGCACCAGACCAGATATTATACTTAATGCTTAATATACGATATCTCATTTAAACTGATGGCAACTCAATAAAGTGAATACTGCAGCTATTACCATTTTATAGATGAGAAAACCAAGGCTTAGAGAACTGAGTAACTTGTCCTCAGTCCACACAAGTAGGTAAGTGGCAAAGCTGGGATTGAACCCCCAGTCCATGTGATTCTAGAGCCCGTACTCTTATCCGCTAGGCTGTGTAGGATAGACTGATGGGGACCCACAGGCCAAGTTTGGCAGATGTGGTCTAGGGTTGCTCATGAGTTGAAAGCAGTAATTGTTGGTGAGTGAGGCCTAAAAATATCCTTCTCATTGCCTTTTTGATAAAAAGACCCCAGACTTTTTCTGAGAAGGGGCTTCTTAGATTTCCTACAGGTACTTTGATCATTGGGAAAGGTTCAGGTGACAATCGTATTATAGGGCAAGCAAGGGAAAGGGCCCCACTGCCGGACCCATTTTCTTTCCTGTTAGGAAACCTTTCTAACTAAGGTCAGAGGACCGAGCCTGGGGTTTTAAAAGAATTCACGGAGCAAAAGTGCAGGGGCATTCAGGAGGGGGACATGGAATGTGGCACGGTACCAGCAGTAGGCCGAGAGATGTCACCTGAATCTTCAAGGTCTAATGGTAGTTATCCTGGTACCGATGTCAAAGTGGGCCACATTTCTTTTTTTTTTTTTTTTTTTTGAGACAGAGTCTCAAAAGCACCCAAAGAAATGTTCCTTAAAATATATGTACATCATGGAAGAGAGATATATGCACAGAACAAACAGATGCTAACTATATACCTTTTCACATCAGCCATAATTCTGCAAGGCTCATTAATTCAAGGAGATTTACCAAGCACCATTATAATTTAAAAAATTAACCCTCTAACAAATTGCGGCATGGTGAGCTTTGGTGACTTTGTAAAGACATTTTGTAGTAACTTTGTCTGGAGTGCAGAGGTGCGATCTCAGCTCACTGCAAGCTCCCCCTCCTGGGTTCACGCCATTCTCCTGACTCAGCCTCCCGAGTAGCTGGGACTACAGGCACCCGCCACCACGCCCGGCCAATTTTTGTATTTTTAGTAGATGGGGTTTCACCGTGTTAGCCAGGATGGTCTCGATCTCCTCACCTCATGATCCACCTGCCTCAGCCTCCCAAAGTGCTGGGATTACAGGCATGAGCCACCCTGCCTGGCCAAAGTGGGACACATTTCCAATAAACAATTCCTACTGGAAGAGGCCCCACGTTTCCCTGGAGAGGGAGTGTGCTCCAATGGGAAGGGTTGGACTTTAGGATCAGGCTGACCTGATCCTGAGTTCACTTTCTGATTCTTACTGGTTTTGCGAGCTTCCACCAATTATTCACCCTCTTGTGGTACCTCAGCTACTGTACCAGTAAGATGTAGGGTTAATAGACTTTTGATTAAAGATGGCAGATTGAACATAAGCTTTAACCTCAGTTGCCTCTCAATACAGTAATAGTAAAGGGTTTGGTTTTTTCCCTCTCAGGTATAAAGTAATTAGAGACTAAGTGACGGGGAGAGGAGACATCAGCAACATAATTTTGGAAGCTGAAAAGCAGATGGAGAAGTGGAGCAGTTAGGTTTCAGTAGACCCAAGAAAGCTGAAATCCAAGTTGGCAGGGGAACAATCAAGAAGCAATCCAGCTTGAACTACAAAACCCCCCAAAAGATTCAGGAGTTAGTAGTACAAGCTTCCTCTTGAAGTAGGGCTAACACAGGACTGTCGATTGAAAATGTGTTTGAGGAGCAGAACCCTCGATTTTCTCCTCACTGACGTGTAGCAAAAGGACCACTCTGCCAATCACCAACAGGCCTTCATCTTGGTAGAAGTCTGGAGATTTATTCTCTGGAGATGATAAAAGCAAGGTGTTTCCACCAAAACGAGAAGTAAGCTAAGACAAGATCCACGAAGTAAGAGTTGCAACAAAAAAAGCAAGGCAAGAACCATCCCAAAGCCTCAGCTGCGCGGTCATCATCAGAGGGGGATCTGTTCAGACTGGAGCAGAGCTGAAGGCTTCAGGGACACTTCAAGAGGATTAAGTAATTGCAAACCTAATAACAACCATTGCCTCTTCTATTTATTGAGTGTTCATTGTGTGTCAGACACAGTTCTAAGCATGTGTGTATTAACGATTAAATCCTGATAGTAGCCCTATTAGATGGTAGTCATTATCCTCCTTTTATCAGTGAGGGAATTGAGGCACTCAGTGCTTAATCATTAGTCTAAAATGGCATAGCTGGTTAGTGGCAAAACTGAGATTTGAACCCAGGCTGTCCACACTCATAGCCAGCATACCACGCCTCACCCCCTTGACAACAGGAGAAACCAAGCTGATGACAAGTTAACACAGCTGGGAAAGCTGGGGGAAACAGAACGTTGCACAGAGAAGAAGTCATCTTAGTTTACTGTGGAGCTCAGTAGTGACCTGAACAGGTAACAGTGTGAAAGGGGATCTGACAGGAGTCTCCGCATGCCCACATCAGGAAGATCCGGGAGGGGCACAGGCATGGGCAGGAGATGTGAGGCATGAAGGAGCTAAGTGCTTCTCTTCGGTGATACAGAGGCAATGCCTAAAACAAATAACAAACCAGAAGTAGCAAGAAAAATAGCTTGTTTAAAGCTACAGAGAGACCCACCAAAGGAACCAACTAGAAGAGTTGAAAACAGGTCTCCTGTAGGTCGTCTGGGCAGACTGTGGCAGGATAGGGGATGGGGGCTGCTGTCTTTCAGGAAAAGTCCTGAGAATTATTTGACCCTTCGAATCTGTGCAAGTAGAACTTTGATAAAAATAAAAGCGAAACTTTAGAAGGGAATAAATACCTGGTAGTACTGTCATGAAATAAATCTGTTTTATCTTCCTAGGAACTCGGTAAATGTTAGTTTTTCTCTTTCCTTTTTCTTTCAAAGGACAAGTTCCCATCCCAGGCAGAAATGAAGGCCCAGTGCGGCGCAGCCGCTGATGGCTCACCTCTCTCAGAATGGCCCGACTGCCCTTCAGGCCTTCATTTCTCGCTTGCCAACTTCCAGGGAAGGACAGAAAAGCAGGGGATTCTGTTGACAGAGACCTTTGATGAGCGCTTGTTACCGTCCGTGGCCTTGTGGGGTGCCTGGATTGAGGCCCAGCAAATGGCCAGATGTGGGGCATAGCTAATGTGGGTAGAGCACCTCCCGCGGCTGTGGGAAGGGACAGTGACAGTGTCTGACTGCTCCCGAGGCGCTAGCAAAGGTGCCCTCCTGGCTGCAGGTAATGGGGGAGCTGCCCCAGACAGTCTGTAAGGCAGTGATCGTGTCCAGGATCCTAAGAGTTTCCTTTTAGCCACCTCCAACTAGGGCAAGAGGCCAGTATCTTGAAAGGCAGAGTTTGGGGCTTGTGTGTATGCAGGAGAGAGAGACAAAGTGTGTGTATTTATAAAGCATGCCATACGCCGTTTGTTCAGTGCAATATGCCACTTTATTTTTATCTCTTCTTACGTCAAAGATAGGGAAAGCCTATTAATCAGTAAATCTAATCATAAATATATGCATATATATCTACATTAATATCAAGTGTTTATATATTGATAAATTGATTTAAGAACGCTTTTCATTTCTGGCAGAACCTTAGACATTAATGAACCTGAATTCTCTTACTGAAGTATCCTCTTATTATTTTATAGCAGTTCTTCCTACTACAGGGTAATTATGAACCTGATTTTAACAAAAAAGTACACTGATCTACTGTAATCTGCTCAGTAATACAAGTGAGCTTTTCTATGCAAACCCTATTGCTCCAAAAAGAATTGAAGAAAAAATGTTTTACCAATTCAGACCCACAAGTATTTATTGTGCACCTACTACATGGAAGGCGTTGGACCAGCTGCAGTGGGTATAATGACGAGTAAAGCAGGCTCAGCCCTTAGCTTTTTGCATTTTATTTTGAAAAGGAAAATCCTAAGAACTAAGTGACCACAATACAAGTCTGACGAGACTGGTGTATGAGAGGAACAAGCAGGCCCCTCCTGGGGGATCGGAGGGGAAGACATCTCATTTCAGGGATCAGGAAGAGATAGACATGAGTTGAGGGATTTGCACTATTGGAATTATAAAATAACACATCCCCAACCTTCATTCATTGATTCATTTACCCATTCAACAATTGTGAGTGCCTGTTACCTGTCAGATGCTCCTCTGGACCCTGGGGATGCACCAAAGCAAAGCTCACCTTCATGGAGTGCAGGGAAGAGAATAGTGGAGAAGGGCAGGCTGCATCTTCGTGGAGTGCGGGGAAGAGGATAGTGGAGAAGGGCAGGCTGCCTTTCCCTGCTCTGACTCTACCCTGGTTTCTGTGAACATTCAGAAGTTTCCTACGTAATGCTGGGCAGTCCTTGGCAGTCTTGGAGTTTGGCTGGCATGGGTGCTGTGTGTAAGTATAGTATCAGTGGCACCCTGGGTTCTCTGACAGCATCAGGACATCACTAGTAGAGTCAGCAGTGTTTCTCAGAAGCTTCTGCCCTGACCCTTTGACCATGGAATCCCCAGTCACATTAGGGCCCTACGTCCACAGAGGAGCAGCAGGAGCAGAGACCTTCTGTGGAAACCACGGCTGCCCCATCCCAGCCGGGTCATAGGTCAGTGTGGTCTGCTTTAATGGGACATAACATCCTTTCTGGACCACCCTACTTGCCACATCCATGGGTTTCCTCCTGGCAGACTGTGGGGTCGGATGCCTCTTCTCCAATTATCTCTGTTACAGTATTCACTGATAACCATCTTAGAGGGATTAAATCAGAACTTACAAATGTTTTCCTGCAGTTGATGTTTAAAATATTTATTCCAAAAAAAACAAAGATGTTCTCAGCCTGATACATCCTTTGTGGATAATAGCTTGGACTGCATCAAGTGCCTCTGGGGTTAGGATACTGCCCTTCCCCTTAGGTTTAACTGAATGTTCAACAAGGATGAGTGTAACACCGAAAAGCATTAAGACTCGAAGACCTGCTACTCTTCAAGGGTGGATTCCAGGCCTTGGGAAGACTGTGTTAGGGGTATTTACATACTACCTGTGTATGTCGGGAGCCCCATACACCACTGCACCTGAGACCCCTCGGTGGGAGGTTTCAGTATCTATCCTGTCAGGAAGTGGTTCTCTTTTAATTGCAGTTGACCCTTGAACAAGTTTGAACTTCACCGGCCCACTTATACGTGGATTTTCTTCCGCCTCTGCCACCCCTAAGACAGCAAGACCAACCTCTCCTCTTCCTCCTCCTCCTCCTTCTCAGCCTACTCAATGTGAAGATGACAAGGATGAAGACCTTTATGATAATCCATTTCCACTTAGTTAATAGTAAATGTGTATTTTCTTATTTTCTTAGTAACATTTTCTTTTCTCTAGCTTACTTGATTGTAGCAGTATAGTATATAATACATACGACATACAAAATATGTGTTAACCATTTGTGCTGTTGGCAAAGCTCTTGGTCAAAAGTAGGCTATGAGTAGTTAAGTTTCAGGGGAGTCAAAGGTTACATGTGAATTTTTGACTGGGTGAGGGGTTGGTGGCCCCAACTCCCATCCTGTTCGAGGGTCCACCGTATATGCTTTTCTCTCCTTGAGAAAAAATTTCTAGCCAAATTTTGTCTTCCTTAAACTCTATAGAGCTTGAGCTTCCAGCTTGTGGTCTGAGAAACCTCTCTTTCCTTGGTGTTTGAGCAGTAATCCTTTTTAGCATGATTGATTTTTTTTTCATTCCTTTTTGTGTCCAGGATCCCACCTTTCACTGCACTGAGTAGCTGTACAAGTTTCACTGCCCTAACAAATTACCACAAACATAGTGGCTTAAAACAACACACACTGATCATTTTACAGCTGCAGATCAGATGCCTGAAATCAGTTTCACTGGGCTGAAACGGACTTGTTGGCAGGGCTGGCACCTTCTGGAGGCTCTAGGGGAAAATCCGTGGACTTGCCGTTTCCTGCATCTAGCGGTCCCTGCATCCTTTGGCTTGTGGCCCCTTCCTCACATCTCCTCCTCTGACTCTGGCCCTCCTGCCTCCCTCTTATAAGAATTCCTGTGATTATGTTGTGTCCACCCAGACAATACACATCTCCCCATTTCGTGATTCTTAACTTAGGCATGGTTGCACAGTCCTTTTTGCCATGTAAGGCAATATTTTCTCAGGTTCCAGAGAATTGGAGGTAGGTGTCTTTGGAGGATCATTCTTTTACCTACCACAGGTGCTAATTAAACATTTTTAAAACTCAGCTGGTTGTTTCCTTTCCCCATCTCTGTCTCTGAGTATTTATGGACCAGGTTTTCAAAACACATAACTCACTTCCCTGTTATAAAGTAATAAATGTTAGAAAATTTCTCTCAGTTCTTTAAAACAGTTGGGAAATGATTAAATTGTCTTTGCAGTGATTGTGGCTTATTACTCTGAAAACTGGACTTGAACTCCAGGTATGTTGGGTATCATCCTAGGGAACCACTAACACTCTAGAAAAACCAGTATCGCCATTTTTCTTGGAAACTCTCCTTTCATCTCCAAGTACAATGGAAGACAAGGAAGAGGACGGTCCCTGTGTTGTTGCTGTTGCCATCATCTTTGTTGTTGTGGATTCTTGCCTTCTTTATCCCCAACTCCAGAATTCCTATCTGTGCCAACCTGTCACTGGCTTTGCTGTGGAAGCCTTGACCTCCTCTCACACACATCAGCTGTAGCTGGCTCCAATATGTCATCTGCCACACGTAACCTAGAATTGGAAGGTAACCAAGAACTGGAAGTGTAACCAGGTAACCTAGAATTGGAAGTGTTTGTAGAGGAGAGGAAATAAGCTGAGTGAGTAATGTGCTTGAGCTCCAGGGTCCACTTCACTGTTACTTACCTTGTGATTCTTGCCACCCCCCAGAGCACCAGAGCAGTGACATTAAACAAACTCTTGACTCTCAACCATGTTTCTCCTTAACCTTGTTCTTTGTTTTTTTTTTGGAGACAGAGTCTCGCTCTGTCGCCCAAGCTGGAGTGCTGTGGTACAATCTCAGCTCACTGCAACCTCCGCCTCCCGGGTTCAAGAGGTTCTCCTGCCTCAGCCTCCTGAGTAGCTGGGACTACAGGCGCATACTACCACACCCAGCTAATTTTCGTTTTTAGTAGAGACAGGGTTTCACCATGTTGGCCAGGCTGGTCTTGAACTCCTGACCTCAAGTGATCCACCCTCCTCGGCCTCCCAAAGTGCTGGGATTACGGGTGTGAGCCACTGTGTCCGGCCAACCTTGTTCTTTGACACAGGTGTTTTAAGCATACATGTGGTGTGTCCTAATGAGAATGAAAATTGTGTGGGTGGCTAACCATACCGTATATGTCTTAGTGCTCCAGTGAGTATCACTTGAGTGGCTTTTGATCTGTATTTGACAGATACTTTAATAATGTTATACAGATATTTTACAGATACTAAAATATTTTATATTTTACATATCCTTATGTAATGCATATATGTATATACATTGTGTATATATACATATGTATCACAATATGTGAAAATATATATAAAGGCCTTGTGAATTCTTTTCAACTATTATCTCTTTATCCCCTTTTTGTGGGATGTGTATTTAGAAAAAATAATAATAGAAAGTACCCTTTATTATTGTTCAGCTTCCACCCCCCTCACAGTTCAGAAGACTGATCCTTGTATCTTTCAAGCTGGAAGCCTTTATCTAAACGAGGGCCTGTGAGTTTAAATTTCTCTGGACAAACCCAGATGAAAGATGGCTTGTTGAAATGAAGGCATCTCTTCCACTGTGCTGCACTGATTAGATTGACCAATCAAGCTTAGAATAGGAAATGACATGGAAGATCAGATGCGGGAAATCATTGAAATATTTGCCCTCCTGTTACAGGATCACTGAAGTCCACTTATTATGAGACCCAGAGGTTTCCCCTCTGAAGATGCGGGAAGGCAGTGACTATGAAACTGGTCCTGGAAGTCTGTTGTTCTGGCATCCTCTGCCCTGGCTAAATGAGGTTCTGGCTTCAGAGGGGTCTTGGTTTATAAGTGCTCCAGGGAGATGTATATGCATTTAGCTACACAAAACCTGGGCTGCATTAACGGTTCTTAAAAGCAGAGAATATGAAAGGGAGGACAGAGGCATTTTCAAAAATTGATGTTCAATTTTATAACTCTCAGTTTCCAGTAAAACTTTCCGTTATGGTCAGTAGTTTATAAAGGAGCAGTTCTGAGTCATTGTTAAGAGTGGAGGCTCGCAGGCAGATTGCCTAGATTCAAATTTTGGTTCTACCCCTCACCAGCCATGTTGGTTAGAAGGTTACTCAACTTCAATTTCCTCTTCTGTGACATGGGGAATAGTCATAAAAATGCCTTCCTCATAATTGTTGTGAAGATTAGAAATAAGATAACATATTAAAAGCACTTAGATTGGGAGGCCGAGGTGGGCGGATCACCTGAGGTGGGGAATTCAAGACCAGTCTGATGAACATGGAGGAACCCCTTCTCTACTAAAAGTACAAAGTTTGCTGGGCGTGGTGGTGCATGTCTGTAATCCCAGCTACTCAGGAGGCTGAGGCAGGAGAATTGCTTGAACCCGGAAGGTGGAGTTTGTGGTGAGCCGAGATCGTGCCATTGCTCTCCAGCCTGAGCAACAAGAGTGAAACTCTGTCTCAAAAAAAAAAAAAAAAGAGAACTTAGAACAGTGCCTGGCACAAAATAATTGCTCAATATACATTGGTGGTTGTTACTGTTATTAAGTTATTGTTATTACTTAGCAGAGATTGGAAGCATTAACACATAATCTTTCCAAGACTTTTTATCTCCAGTAACTAAACTCCAAAAACATATGGGTACTTCAAGGGGGTGACCACTGAGCTATTCAAATGTACCCTTCTATTCCCAAGAGTACACCAGTGTGCACTCTAATATACACAAGAATACCCTAACTACATAAACTACATTACATGTCTACTCATACATTGCCTCTTTAAGAAATGTATATGGCACAGCATTTTATTGTCATAGCCATGATGGCATTTATGTTTTATAAACTGGAGGGAAGTTATAAGAATTTTTCATCAAAGAACTAATCTTTTCTAGAATTAGATAGATGGTTAGCAAAATGTATGACTGGATTTCTGTCATAGAAATTTTCAAGGAGATGAATTCTAGGAGAAATTAAGCATCTTCCCCCCACCCCAATAACACAAGTTATTGGATAATTTTAAATTTGTGTCAAATGGCTTAATATCCTTTCCACAGACCCTGAAAATACAAACATTTGATATGTGCTCGTATCCAATTTCAAGTTCTGCTTATATTTTATTTGAATTACTGTCTCCTTAGCTGCCAGGCGCCCCAACACGAATGTTGGCCCCTGCGTTTTACAATTGTTCCTGATAGTGCTTTGTTATGTATTGGGAGACTTTGATGCCCAGTGCCCGCGTTGGACTACAGTTGTTCCTTTACCATTCTTAGCAGTACCTCATATGACTTGCGGTATGGAAGGCTTTTCAAAGTCATATGTGTCCCACTGGGATTAGTGCAACTGCTTAAGCCCTGGCTGTCCCCATCTTTTCTCTGCTTGTTCACATGGTTAATTATGGATTCATCAAATGTTAGAGCTGGGAAAAAGATCTTGGAGATCATCTGGTGCTATTTTCTCATTTTCAGTCCAGAGAAACAACGCTTTTCCAGCCAAGTGTAACCCCAGTCGTTAGTGCAAGGGCTTAGTCTAGACTTTGATTCGTTCTGTAACTACATTAAGGGGGATGAGAAGAGAGCTCACGTTCACTCTGCACAAGGACAAATAAAAAAAGGCCCTGCCATCCCTTGAGGAACTCACAGTACAGCGAAGTGACAGTCCGGTGAGCAGATAATTATCTTTAATTCTTAGCCCATTGCTTGCTCCCCTGTACTGGTATGCCTTTGGTATATACTGTTTCAGCTTCTTATCCATCCACATGGTTGTAAAGTGGGGAGCTTTTGTTTTTGATGCCTGTCTCTCCATGTATCCATTCATTTATTTTTCTATCTATAAGTCATTCATCAAAAACCACTTAGGAATGCCTGAGCTATGCTGCACAACAGAGTCACTTAAATGCTACATACCAGTGGAGAAAAATCATGGTTCTTGCCTTCCAGTAATTTATAGTCTAGTTGAAGGATACAAGCATATAAAGAACAAGGTACAAACATGTGTTAAAGGAACTGTAATATAAACATGACAAGGTACATGGCAGACACAGTTTCATCCTGCCTAAATCCTCCTGAGTTGTTCACAGGTATTTCATGTGTTAGTTATTCGAAGGAACTTTACAATGCACCTCCTTCTTTGGGGCATTTACATTTTAAAGTAGGTTGGGAAACCCGCTTTACTACCTTCCTCTCCCTTCCCTCTTTTACTTTCTTTCTTAAGTTCGAGACTGTGTCCCACCTGTGTTATTGCTTAGAGGAGGTGGGCCTAGCCTTGTGCTCCATGATGGAGTTCAAAGAGAATGCCATCCACCAATCTTGCACTCTCTGGCTCACAATCTGCTTGTCCCCTTCGTTGATTAGTTCTTTCTTTCATTCATACATTTGTTTATTCATATGAATGTCCACTGTTTACTAAGCCAGTAGTCACTGTGGAAAGCAAAGGCAGACGTGGCTGATGTTCTCAAAGAGCAATAGTCTAGACTAGAGGGGAAATTAACTTTCATGGAATAATCACACATGTAGATGTGAGTGACAGCTGAAATAAGCATCTGCAACTTGATGCTTTAAGAGCAGTGAGCAGGCTGGGCGCCATGGCTCACAGGCCCGTAATTCCAATACTTTGGGAGACTGAGATTGGAGGATAACTTGGGCCCAGGAATTTGAGACCAGCCTGGGCAATATAGTGAGACCCCCATCTCTACAAAAAATTAAAAAATTGGCTGGGCATGATTGGTGCATGCCTTTAGTCCCAGCTACTTGGGAGGCTGAGGTGGGGGGATCCCCTGAGCCCAGGAGGTCAAGGACTGCAGTGAGGCATAATCACACCACTGCACTCTGGCCCAGACAATAGAGTGAGACCCTGTCTCAGAAAAAAAAAAAAAAAAAAAGTAACAGTGAGCAGTGGAGTCAAGGTTGAGTGTGAGGCCAGGGAGAGAAGAGCATTATTCAAAGCCAAGGAGCTGCCTAAGCAAAGCTCCCTGGCAGGAAAAGAAATCTATGGATCAGAGCTCTGGAAAGAAGGCCAGTGTGGCTGGAAAAGTGGGGGACATGGTGTTGAGGCTGAAACGGGGCTGAGGCCAGACCACACTGGGCCTCTTTGACCATGTAGGGATCTCTCACTTTACCAAGAGCAATAGAAGCCCCTGGAATGTTTTAAGCAAGGAATGTCACACGATCAGATTTGGTTTTCAAAAACATGACTCTGGCTGCTTTGTGGAGGGGGACTGAAAGGGAAGAGTGTGGCTGCAGAACCAGCGGGAGGCTACAGCACAGCTACACAAGCAACAAGTTGTTCCAACTGAGGTTGTGGCGAGGGGATAGAGATAACTCAGCAGATCCCAAAATAAATAAAACCCAAAATTTCTACAGCTTGCTACTTAGTTGAACACGAGGGAAGAGGGATGATGCTGATTATGGAACCAGATGGATGATGCTGCCATTGTTGTTAAGGACACAACTGGTTGAGATTTAGGTTTGAACACGTTTGCCTTGAGGTTTACTGGAGGCACTGAAGTAAACGTGTTGCACAGATAGTTTGAAACAGTCTGGAGCTTACAGGAAACACAGAGACTGGCATATAAATGTGTGAGTGATCTTCATTGAGAATGTATTTGAAACTGAAGTATGGAGAAGGTGGACTAGGAAGCATGGAGTGAGAAGAGCAAGGGGCTTTGCATGAATCTTATGGAACTAGGGCCCTTGGTGGCCAGATAGAGGAGAGCAAATCTGCCTGGAACGTGGGGGAGCCAGGAGTGAGGAAGAGCCAGGGTGTGTGAGTGCTGGAAGCCAGGGTAGTAGGTTTCAAGATGGCAGGAGTAGCCAACATCACTGAAGAGCCAATGACATGATCAACAAAAAGCCATTGCATTTAGCAATAGGGGTCACTGGTGACTGTGGGGAGAAATGATCACTCAGGGGGCCAGAAGCAAGATTAGATAGAGTGGGTTGAAAATGAAGTGGGAGGAGAAGAAATGGAGACAGTAAGTAGACAACTGAAGAAAAGAAGAGAGACAAGGCCATGCTTGGAAAGGTTGTGTGCAGTAAGAGAAGTTTTGTAAAAGTGTAATAAACTTCAGAGTGTGTAAAAGTCAGGAGAAGGATCCAGTAGAGTAGGAGAGGTAACTATATAAGAGAGAGAGACAGAGGAGAGATGTTACAGTGTTCCTCAGAAGGTAAGACATCATGGGACCCCACACTTGGAAGAGGGTGAGCAGGGTTGACCTTAGACTGGACAAAAGGGTATTTTACATTGAATGAAAAAGAAAAGGAAAAATATTTTCTCTTGTTTTGCTTAGATTTCATCTTGGGCTTATATTTGACATGGAACTAGTCCACTGTAATTTTTATGGACTTTTTACCATGGGTTTTCCACCTAACGTATTTTTAAATTCAGAAAGTTGGGGTATTTTCATTCTTTTTTTCTTTGTCAGCTCTTTTATTACAAACTATTCTATTCATTTGTTATATTTTCCCATCCTTGCAGTGCATTGCAGACAATATTATTATTACAGTTCTACATGCATGTTATTACTTTAGTTTTGCAGGGACTTCCCCATGAATAGCAGAATGTAATTTATGAAATCCAACCATCATTCTCAAGGCACCTCTGTGCTATATGTTAAACTCACTAAAACAGCAATGTGGAAATAGTCACCCACACTGCTGACTTCCAGAGCATCAGTCACGTTGCCGCTTGCATTTGGAAGGAGCCTCCCCTGATCCTTCTCTGGATGAAGCCCTGGAGGGAGGCATTACCTACCCAGGCCACTCCTCTTGCTGGCTTCACCGTTTGAACTAACTCAGGGACGGGTGTCTCTAGATCCATCCAAATGTGTATAAAGAGATGAACTTCTACTTTCAGTTAATTATCAAAACTATAATTATCTTAGAAAGTTATGCAAATTAGTCAAGTGTTAAGCCCTTCATCGAGAAGCTAGCAAAGTAGAATTGGTGTGTGCGGTGGTCAAGAGGGAAGATTCTCAGATCAGATCCCCGGGTTTGAACGCTGGTCCTGCTACTTGCTGGCCGTGTGTGACCATGGCAGGTTACAATTTCTTTGTGCCCCAGTTTACTTCACTATAAAGCAGACATAATACTCCCAAGCTCATATGATCATTGTAAGGATTAAATTAGTTTGCATAAAGCTCTTGGAACAATGCCTGATGCATAGTAAGTACTTAATAAATTCTATGATAGCATCTTGGATGCAGTGATGGTGCTTCGGAAGCCTGTTACCTTCTGCTGCCTCCACGTGTTGCAGTTTCATTTGGGAAACACTTATTGTTTTAGTCACATACAACTCTAAAAGGAGGTGATTCTATGTCCAGTTTTTCACAATGTCTAAAATAATATGGTTCACAGTAATAAGATTTTATAGCAGGTGAATGTTTACATTCTCATTTCCCAGATATATAATAATCAGTAGCCACTCCCTTTGCATTAAAAACAAGCCCCCCTGGCTACTGAATGGCTCTTCAATGTAGGGAGTATCTTAGCCAGCTTGGCACAAATAAAACCTCTTTCCTTTTCAGCTGTTTTAAACATTTAGCAGTCAGATCAGATGATTGAACTTTCAAAAAAATTCTTCCCAATATCTGTTTGGATGGAATCATTTGCCGTAAAGATCTGGCATTATTCAAAGCTGCTCTGTGCTCCCTTAATTGAAAAGCCCTGACATTGACATTGGACAGGGCTTGCCTTTGGGGCCACCAGCAGACAGCTTTCTTCAGTGCCTCGTATTGTTAATGACTCAGAGAATGTGTTTCGATGAGATCAGAAGCAATCCACTAAAGAAAAAGTGGAGAGGACTTGAGAGCTTAAAAGAGCGGAGAGGAGAGATGTGAGAAAACCTAAAAAAAGACAAAAGTTGGTGTGGAAGAAGGGGTGGCGCGGGCTCCATGGCAGATTTGTCATTCGTCCCAGTCCAGCTATTTAGAATCATTTTTCCAGTGGGAAGAGAGATGAAGAGAAATCCTGTCCAAAAGAACAAGGAAGATGTCTTTGAAATGATATGAGGGGAGCCAGAGACAGACATGGAGGTGAGCAGGACCAGGTCTTGCTCCTTAGATCTCCAGGGAAGATGTACTCAGCACTACTGTGCGCACCTGGGCTGCACTGGTGTCTTTACTGCAGGCAGAAAGGATGGATGCACGCTGGCCAGGGCCATGGACTGCAGGTGCTTAAGTGGCCCCACAGTAGATGGCTGTGTTCACAGCTCAGATCTGTGGCCCCCCTGGCCTCCTCAGCCCCTCTGAACAGTATCCCACTGTTAGCAGCTCTGCAGTGAAAGTGCAATCTGAACACAAATTAAGTGGCAGCTTTGGGGTTTTAAAGAAAAAGGAAAACTTTTTCATTTTAGAAACAGAAAGCTTAATGTCTCCTGTGTCAGTTCATTCTATGCTCCCTGAAATGGTTTCATCTCTATGCTAATTTTATGCTGAAAATAGGAACTCCCCTGTGCTGGAGAGGAGAGAAAGGGCTTGGAAGTCAAAGACTATCCAAGTGGCTGAGAATCAAGTGGACCCCCTTGACTCATTTCCACTTAGAAAATGCTTTCAAGGCAGCCAGTGTTACACCGAGGGTCCTGCCAGGGGAGCCGAGGCCTTTGCCTGTCACCCTGGGAGCTGGCTTCCAGGCCTTGGGCATGGATCCCTCGCCCAGAGTCTGCTTGGTCTTGCACCAATGATTTCACAGGTTATATCCAGACCTCATGCTTGATAATAAGGTAGTAAGCTGACTTCCCTTGGTTTCCTCCACTTCTGTTTTAAATGAATAATTAATCCATTAAAAGCATCATCTCAAAAGCACAAAATATCCTATAATCTATGACTATAAGTTCTTAGAATAAGAAGTGGACATTGTGTTATGCTTACTTGTAGACTGGTCTGTCTCTCTTAGTAGGACATGAGATGTTGAGGATGGATCTCATCCTAGTCCTAGTCCTTAAGAGCACCAACATGGACGCTTCCTCAGCGTAGGCATATAACTGTGATCTCTGAAGATTCCTATGGGTCTATCATTCAGTAGCTCAAGGGCAGCTGGACGGAGAAGAGATTAGAAGTCTTGTTCCTGCTTCTTAACTTGTTCACAAAGATACTTCATTTTTATTATTTTGGTCCTGCCAGTTCTCTTCATCTGGTTTCCTGTATCCTTTCATATACAGTGATGCTGAGGCATTTTTTCATTTGTTTGTTTTATTTGTTGTTTTAAAGAGAAAAGGGAGTATACTTGTTGCTTCAGGGCAAAACAAAGACCAGTGGGAAGAAAGTTATCAAAGGTTGATTTCAGCTCCTCACAAAGAGCTTTCTAAGGACAGGCTATTTGTGAAGGGACTAAATGTGTTTAAGTAGAGCTGGGCGGTCACATGAGACCATTGTCCTGAGGAAGCTCACCCAAAAACCCCGATGGCCAGGATGTTGACTGATGGCTCACCCTGGAGAGTTGACATCTGGAGCCTCCGCTGACAAGCAGCATGGTCCGCTGGCAGGTGAATAGGGGCCATGGTTCTGCGGGCTCTCTCCAGGGGTGGCTGAGGCTGGCACTCCACAGTGCTGCTAAGCACATGGGTCACAGCTGCAAGAATGCTGGGGTATGCTGACTAGGCAGGTGTGCGGAGGTCACGATGCAGCTCCATCTTCAAAACAGGAAGCATTTCTCGGAGCTGTAGTCTCACAGACTCTAGAGAGATTTGAGAGGAGACTGTCAGAGAGACACAGAGGCCTGGGTGTGTGTGGATGAGGTGATTTCTAACCGGTTGATAATAAGGTAGTAAGCTTTATGTTTCTATCATATTTATTTCCCCCCTCAGATCAGGTTGTCTGAGCCAGAACCACATATCCCAGAGCAGGCATGTTAGTGATCTGGGATAGAGAGAAGGACGTTCTAAACAATGTCTGGAAACATAAGGGGCTGAGATGCATTTAGCCATTTGAAAAGATAATGGAAATTTCTTTCAACTAATTCCTTTGAGGTTTAACTGTATAGTATTGCCTTTTTCATCCTTTCACAAAACAGACCCTGGAAGGACTCAAATTGGTAAGTGAGAAGCCAGTTACTACCAACTACTGGGCAGCTTCTTGGCAGGAGGTGAGAGCTTTCTGCTTCCTTTTTAGGACAATTCCACCCTTCCTTGAGTGGGAGGAGTTGGTGAGGTGGCTGAATGTCATGAGGGTTTGGAGAGGAGGTGGCTGTAATCGCACAGGCACTGGCATTGAAGAGACCCCGGGAAGGGAAGTACCTCTGGCTCCATGGCAGGATCTGGAGGGAGGAAGGGAAGATTC